>NC_000010.11:87567337-87718852 GCF_000001405.40 Homo sapiens | reverse complement strand
CTATACACCTTACAAGAGTTGCCTCACTCAATTCTCTAACACTGTGGAACTAAAGCAACCTCCTAGACAGTCTTCAATTGAGGTTAATACAGAGGAAGGAAACAATTTTTCCCACTTGAAGAAGAGTCCATAAACTGCAAAAGCCCTACTGGCACCAAAACTTTGGTGGCTGGAGTGACCCAGCATGATCTGCACTTCTGAGTACAGACAGACCCACAGAATCACACAGCAAGTGGCACATGGCTGGGGCCCTGACTCAGGAACACAGGAAACGCACCCCTTGGGGACTCCCAAAAACACTTGGGTAGGCTTTTGAAAGAACTGGGCTTTCTGCATGAGCAGGTAGGGGCTTGGAACTAGTAGGCTTCAAGTATTAATGGGAAGGTAACCTCATTCATATCCCCAGGCTGGTGGGTTTGCGGGGACAGACATCTGGATTACATGGAAAGTGGGAGCAATAATAAGTGCTTCATCCACCTCACGGTAGTGAGCATCAAATAAGAAATAGAAAATCAATGGGTTGGCAGGGTACCGTGGCTCACACCTGTAATCTCAGCACTTTGGGAGGCTGAGGCGGGCAGATTATCTGAAGTCAAGGAGCTCAAGACCAGCCTGGCCAACATAGTGAAACCCTGTCTCTACTAAAAATACAAAACTTAGCCATGCATGGTGGCATGCACCTGTAGTCCTAGCTACTCAGGAGAATCGCTTGAACCCGGGAGGCAGAGGTTGCAGTGAGCTGAGATCATGCCACTGCACTCCAGCCTGGGTGACAGAGCAAGACTCTGTCTCAAAAAAAAGAAAAAAGAAAAAAAAGAAAAGAAAAAAGAAAATCAACAGGTTTTGCAAGTTGAAAAACCCCCATAAAATGAAATTGAGACAGTGTAAAAGAAAGGCTAGAGATTTTGCCTAAATCATCCAGATGGATTATCTGCATTAGCTGTTCTTCATCTTTTTGGATCACAGACTCTTTTAAGAATTTGTTGTCTATAATAGCACTTTGCAAGGCCAAGGCAGGAGGATGACTGGAGGAAAGGAATTCAAGATCAGCCTGGGCAACACTGTGAGACCTTATCCCTGGGCAACATAGTGAGACCTTATCTCTACAAAACAAATTTAGAAATCTGCCAGGCATGGTGGTACATGCCTGTAGTCCCAGCTACCCAGGAGGCAGAGGTGGAAGGATTGCTTGAATTCAGGAGTTCAAGGCTTCAGTGAGCTATGATCATGCCACTGCACTCTAGCCTGGGTGATGGAGCAAGACCCTATTTCTAAAAAATAAAAAATAATTAAAGGAAAAAACAGAATCTATCAAAAGCTATAAATTCTCAACCCAGGAAAATGCTCCTTCCTTCCCTTATCAAAACACAAACATTTTTGCCTCTAAGATTTTTTGTTAGCCCACCCTGAAGTCCTAGATCTCAGGCTAAGGACCTCTGATTTCCATTAACACTGACCTCTGCAACCACTTCCACCACCCTAGTATTTTTCTTTATGAGAGGAACACTTGTCCAAGGTCAACAGCACCTTGTTGTCTGTAATGAGGCCCCCTCTTTCAATGTAGTTCACTTGTCTTTTGGCCACAGCTCTGTTCATATGCTCAAAATCAACCTCTTGCTCATGGCTAGCTGCTAAGTCCAATGACCTTTACTTCAGGCAGTCGGTGTTCAGCATGTGTCAAAATCAAGACACCAAGATAAAAGTCAGCCTTCCTTGTAGACCATCAGGCCTTGTAGATTCTATTGGAAAAGACATCAGGAGAGCAGACTGGTATGTAAGGAGCACTGGGCCAGGATTCCTAAGATTCTGGACTCTGGTCTTGGGCTTTCACTTATGAATGTTATGAGCAAATCACTTAATCTGAGGCAGTTTCCTCATCTGTAAAGTGGGATAATAATTGCTGCCTGTTTTCTAGGGCTTTTGTGAGGATCAAATGAAATAATGCCTGAGAAAATGCTTTGAAAACAGAGACGTGGTATAGGGATATGCATTATTATTTTTGTTGTTAAAGCAAGCTAGAAGTAAACTAAGTGTCTTTGGGGAATATTATTTAATCTGAGAAGTGAAGGATTCAGGTTGTGGGGTGTTATCTGTCACAGCAAAAGAATAAGGGAAGAGGGCCCATGCTGATCAGTCTTTGAGTTCTGATTCTGAGTTCATGCCCCATTCCCCAGGCAAAGGCACAAACACAGGACATGAACACCTCTCCCAAAAAAGAGCATCTTATTTGATTTTTCTTCCTAAAAGGCTTGGAGCCCTGCTCAGCATTACAAATTCAGCGTGACTCTACCCCTACTCCTTCCCCACTTAGCAGCCATTCCCCGAAGGTCTTGAAATAGATAAGTTTATTTGATAAGTTCAGGCAGTTCTAGGAAGGAAATGATCACAGAAGGGTCCGGAAGTCTTCACAATAACACATGTTTCTGAGCTTGACCAGATTGGTTTTCCAAAAGCCATTCAGCTCGTGGCCAGAAAGCTGCCTTAATGCTCTTTTGTTAGAGTGTAGTGGATGAAACCATTTTAATATATTTCATGTGTGGGCATGAACATTGACACTTTAGCATGCACCAAAGAAAGCAGTTGTTGCAATAATGCTTGACATGAGCAACCTGGAGGGTGGAGGGTGCCATGGAGGTCAGCAACATGTGCTGACCTCATCTTGGCTGCCCTAGGAATGTCCCTAGCAGGTGGCAATGGTACTTCTGCGTGCTACCTTCTGAATATCAGCACCAGCAAAGAGCAAGTGGAGATGAAACAGACCTGTCTTTCTCTTGGCTTTACACCATTTTTCAGTTCCTTAGTTTTAAAGGAACAACCTTTGAGAACAACCAAAAAATCCTAAAAATGGAAGCTTAAACATAATAGAATGGAGCACACTGTAAATGATCCAAACAGTTTTGCAATAAGATTTGCAAACTAAAGACTAACTTCCTGTTCCTGCAAAACTTCTGGGAAAGATTTTTTTTTTTCCTTAACAACAAAGAGTAAGAAACAACAACAAAAACATACCATCTAGCAGGGTGTCAAAGTGCATAACCTGTAAGTACTCCTTCTCCCGCATGAAACCTTTGAGGGGAGTGGCCCAGCCTTCGCTCAAAACCTGGACCCACTGGAGATCCAGCTGCAAAACACAAAAAGTAGTTGAACATTTTCATAAGTTCTGTTTTCCAGGCATCTGGCCCCAGGGAAGTCCTTTCTTATTCAGTTAACAGGAGGATGAGGGCAGAACCTTCTATGTTTTAAGTGTCCCCACCTGTTATGCTAACCCATGATCTAAGGGCCAGAAATATTTAAGTTTGGAAGTTTCCTATGAAATAGTGGTGAAAAGATTTTGTATTGAGATGACTTATTTGAACATTTTTAGGTTGTATCTATTCCCAAAATGTGCAACTGAGTTGAAAATTCACTGTTTATTCTTTCTTTCTTTTATCCACAAAAATCCTGGTCTGGCTATATTTTTCTACCAGATGTACTTACTGGTACAATGACAGCTATGTAAAATTGTCCAATGCAAATACAGAAGTTATTTTCCCAGTCACCTCCATACATGGCATTGATCAGCTGCCTTGTGGCAATTCTTGGTGAGAGATTTCTTTGGAGAAGAGGTTAAAAATAACTTGGAAAAAAAGGAGTGTTTTATTTATGGACATTATGTGCACCTTATTTATACTTTTCTTATTGTTAAGAGTAATTGTAAATAAATTATAATGACTGATATTAAGCCTAATTATTTGACCAGTCTGCACCCACTTACCTTAGTAATTGATAATGAAGGGAGAGTTTCAGCCTCAGCTCGGACGTGGTCAAGTTTGTTTTCCGGCACAAAGAGTTCGTGGATATCTTTGATTATAGTATAGGGTACAATGTTCTGAAATGAAACAGCATTGGTAAAAACTTGAAAACTGTAAAAAGAATGCTTCAGTAAAGAGGCATAGATTGTCTTTCATGATTTTATTAAACATATAAAAAAAGACAACCGGTTCACCTACCTGCTCTTGCAGAAGTTCCACTACCTGGTGGACACAGTCACTCACTGTGGACAAATTGGTTTTAAGCACACGCTCAGGAGTTTCAGGTTTCTCATAATCAGAATCAATACCTGTAAATCCTGCAAAGCATATGGGTGACAATCATCGCATCTGTATTGACAGAATAATCTTTTTAATCAATAAGGCAAAACACATGTTGGAATAATGTATTAAACTGAAAATTCACACTTTAACAGAAAAGGTCAAACAGCCATCCTTGACTTCTAGCCATAAGTAAGAAAATATATAGCTGTATTTTCAATATGGAAAGCCCCAAATTGTCAACAAAATCCTGCTGGCTAAGTTGAAGCCCTCTATAGATGATTACAATCAAAAAGGAAGACAAGAATAAGGAAGAACTCTGAAACACTCCTCTACACACACACACTCACATATAAATATCCATTCTAGTTCTCTGAACGTTATTGCATATGGCTGAGATGACAATTCTTAAAAATAAAACCCTACCTTTTAATAAGCCTCTGGGCATACTGAATATATCATGATCTGATAAAAAGTTGTGCATGTTATATGCAATTTTGGAAAACAGTTTGAAACTCAAGGAAGATTTCTGAGGACAGAATAAGGACTGAGGACTGACAGCCTATGTAACTGGTAGACGCTACTAGCCAATTCTCTTACCTTTAATCTCCCCAGCTCTGGCCCTTTTATAGAGGCCTTTTACGTCTCTGCTTTCACAAATATTTAGAGGTGCATCTACAAATATTTCAAAGAATGGCAGCCCTGCTGATTCATGTATTTTGCGGGCATTCTCACGATCCTGAAAAGCAATATGATTAAGAATGTAAAAAGAGGTTTCACGGTGAAATTCTAAATCACAAAACACTGTGTACTTTGGTTTTCAATAGCCTTGAGATAACACTGGGGTTTGTGCTTTGCAGAGTGCTTGAGAGAAAGTCCAGAAATTTTACTCTGGTAAACACAGCTCTCTCAAGGACTTTCACAGAAAATCATGGAAAATAGGCCCTCTTAGCAGGAAAGCACTGGCCATATGGGAGCATTTCATTCAAAGGATGTGTTCTAAGCTACATCTGATGTTTGGCTCCCAGAAATTTCCTGATTTAAAAGAAGAGTGACACTCCATCTCAGTGATGTCAGCATTAAACACATAGAACCCGAAGCTTTGGCCATGAACTGCTCTTTTCTTTAACTAGATCCTTTTTCCGACAACTAAAATTACAGAGGTTTAGAGTTTCTCTTGTTTAACTTTCTCTTCCCTTCGACTCTCACCAAATGTTCCTTATAATTGTGAACATGGAAGGGTTTATGTCTACTGGTGCCCTGGCATCTGGAAAGGAAGGAACTCCTTTATATAACCAATATTAAATAGAGGAAATGAGAGAGCCTGTTATTGGGGGAAGAAATAGTCGGGAAATTGAAAGGAGACATTCTTATGCCCTCCCTCTCCGATTCCTTCCCCTAGCAGTTGGAGAGCACTTGCACTGTGTGTGGGAATCGTGTGTAGTGCCTTTTTTTTTTTTTTTTTTTTTTACCTTTGCGAATGGAGAAATAAAGCTGGTAATGCAGACCAGACCAGCATCAGCAAACAGCTTAGCCACCTCAGCAATCCGGCGGATATTTTCCTCTCTGTCCCCAGGAGAGAATCCGAGATTTCTGTTAAGGCCATGACGGACATTGTCCCCATCCAGGGAGTAACAAGGGATGGCATGGGAGACAAGGTACTCCTCCAGGGCAAAACTTATCGTTGTTTTTCCAGCACCAGAGAGACCTGTTCAGAACAGATAAAACAGACTGACATCGGCCTGGATAGTTTAAGATGACAAATTGTGAACTAATCTAGTAATTTTAAATATAACTAAATCTTAAAAAAAAAAAAAAGAAAGAAAGAAATCAGTGTAGTTGACTACAAGGCAAGTACTTACATTTCTCTCAAATTTTGAAATAACTATTTGTCCTGTGTTAGGATTATAGCTTTTCAAAGCAAGCAGGCTTCATAAATAGGGAGATTTGGGGGCTACATGTGGTCCTCGATGTGTTCTGTTTGGGCTGCAGAGTGTTTTAAAGATTAGAAAGTTGTCATACAGGCTGGGCATGGTGGTGGCTCATGCCTGTAATCCCAGCATTTTGGGAGGCCAAGGTGGGAGGATCACTTGAGCCCAGGAGTTCGAAACTAGCCTGGGGAACATAGTGAGGCCCTGCATCTACAAAAAACAAAAAAAATTAGCCGGGTGTGGTGGTGCACTCCTGTGGTCCCAGCTACTCAGGAGGCTGAGGTAGGAAGACCCCTTGAGCCTGGGAAGTCAAGGCTGCATGCAGTGAGCCGTGATGGCACCACTACACTCCAACCTGTGTAACAGAGCGAGGCCTTGTCTCCAAAGCAAAAAGGAAGTTGTGTATACAAATCCAGATTCTGTATTCTCTTGAAAAAATCAAAAGATGTGGTGACAGTGGTCTCATATCCCCTTCAAAGTCAGCAATCAGCTGGAATGGAGGGAAACAGCCAGCCCCTGGAGACTGGTAAGTCCACCTCCCTCGTGGATGCCACTGAACAACCGTCTTACAGAGCCCGCAGGCTGTCCTTTGGCTTCTAGATGTTTCCAAAATGACTCTCAAAACATAAAGACAGGAAGCCGGCCTGAGCTAGGGAGCAGATGTATTTAGAGCTGCCATATGTCACACTCTTAGGTGTAAAGATTCTCTAGAGTCTTTATATGAGAAAAGAGTTACCATGTGGCTTCCACCATGGTTTCAAAGCACAATGATCAGGAACACACTTTGTAATTTCCATATGAGGAGGAACATAAGAAGGGAAAGAAACACAACCTGCCAAAATTATTTAACAGTTTAAATCTGAACTACCCTAAAGGCTAGCACTCTAAAAAAAAAAATGGGTCCTTTAGGATTTTAGGATCTTTGTCTTAAAGATCTCTGAACCTAAGAATATTTCATGGTGCCAAGCCTCTGTCCGACAGCACCTTGGCATGACAGAGGAAAAAAGCCAAGAGGTTCATACAGAGAAGACAACAGGAGGAAAGAGGAAAAAGGGCAGAAAAAGCAGGAATGAAGGACAGACAGAGGAAGGAGGATTTGGGTGGGGGGGAAGGTGATCTGCAAAAGGTGAATAGTCTCCATACTTTTAGTTATATTTTAAAGTCATGCCTTTGGCTTTGACAGAGGACCATTAGAAGAAATGGCTGTATGAAGAACGTGTCAACACTAACTTCATCAAATCATTTTTGAAGGTATTGTCTGTAATTCTGTTATTCCTTTTCATTTAAATAAAGACATAGGTGATAAATTCTTCTTAGTATTTATGTCAGGTTGTGGGGTAGGGGAAGTGGCACTCCTGAATCTCTGGTGTGTTCTCTCATGTCAGAAAATGAGAGAAATAACAGAATGTCCTTCCATTTTGCTTCAGCTCTCAGGAAACAAAGAGCTAAATTACAGTAAGTATATGTAACCAGATTGTTGGCACACGTACTTTCATACATTGAGGTAACACTAATTACAATTACTGACAACTTAACTATGTGCCAGGCACTGTGCAAAGCACATTTGTCTTTTATTGATTTAGTTCTATCGACACCTCCATAAGTCAGGTACTATCTTTATTCCCATTGTACAAATAAGAAAACTGAGGCTTAGAGAGCCTAACTGGCTTGTCCAAAGTCACACAGCTCATGGAGGTGGAGTTGGGGCTAAAATCTGAGTCTATGGATTTAAAGTATTTTGTTTCTTCTGGTCTGCCTGGTCAACAGCCTACCTTTGTAACATAAGAATAAAAAATAAATTAGAAAAAGATGACTTTTTAATTTAATTTAATTTTTTATTTTTATTTTTTGAGATGGAGTCTCATTCTGTCACCCAGGCTGGAGTGCAGTGGCGGATCTCAGCTCCCTGCAACTTCTGCCTCCTATGTTCAAGTGATTCTCCTGCCTCAGCTTCCCGAGCAGCTGGGATTACAGGCGTGCACCACCACGCCTGGCTAATTTTTGTCTTCTTAGTAGAGAGACAGGGTTTCGCTGTGTTGGCCAGGCTGGTCTTGAACTCCTGATGTCAGGTGATCCACCTGTCTTGGCCTCCCAAAGTGCTGGGATTATAGGCAAGAGCTACCAAGCCCGGCCTTGATTTTTTAAAATTTGCCATATATTCTTTTCTTCCTCTAATGAAGAAATAATTCATTTTAAGAGTAAAGAAGGAGAAAGTATACCCTTTAGATATGTTTCTCTTCTACCAATTCTCTTTTTCTTTTCAAGGGGTGTCACATTAGAGAAAATGGACTTTGTGTGTATAGCCCAACACGAAAGTTGTTTTCACCAGTGATCTTCGCATGAAGGGAAACATATAACAGGAGGGGATCTTCTAGAATACAGCTGTACCTACTGCTCAAATTACGTCTCTTGGGGGGAGTTGAGGTAAACATTTCAGGAGTAATGACAGAAGGATGGTGCATATTAGAGCACAGCAGGTTCCTTGCTCACTGTCTGTCCTTGCACTGGAGGCTGCAGAAAGTTGTTTCGATGCACAGTCCAGGCATGAATGAAACCAGGAAACCAAAGGCACAAGGCAAAAACTTGAAGAGTACAAGAATGAGGCCAGTTGGGACAGAAAAGGGCAAAGATTTAGGACAGCAAGAAAAGATGCAAGGCAGGTCCCCACCTGCCAGATTGTTTAGAATGAGCTCCAGGTTAGAAAACATTATCATTTTATAACCTGAATAAACATAGTTTTGCAGGTGGGCTCATTCCATTTGAAAACTGTTGTCTATGAAATGAACTTGGTTTTTCCTTTTGAGTCCAGAAATAATTTTGTCTACCTTGGACTCAGAGTACAAGGTAACAGCCTAGGGCCAGCTATTGGGAGTCAGGTTCTAATTCCAGTTCTGTCACTAATTCTCAGTTTTGACATTCTGTGGCTATAAAAACACAAGAAAAGGGAGAGTCATTCAGTCACTTCAGCAGCAGCAAGTTATTTCTGTAAACAAGGGCAATCCTCAGCCAAATGGAAATTGCTAGTTTTCCTTCTTGTACAGATTCTTATGTTTGTTTGTTGTTTATATAGTAAGTGAAATAGTCTCCTAGAATGTCAAAACATTAGGCAACAATAACGAATATCTCTAAATATCCAAAACCTTATGGACAGCCAAATGCTTGATGTCAAATTAGGAAAGCCTCATTCATAACTGCCAGTAAATATGTTTAGGGATGAACATGAGAATTATTGAATCCCTTAGCACTGAAAGGGGATGTCATAATCATCTTGTCCCGTCCTTTCCTGCCAAAGAGGAGAAAAGTGACAACTAGAGACTTTCACAGTTGACTTGATCAGACTCTTATTTCTGTAGTTGACCTTGACTCTATTTCTCACTGATGGTAGGGTTAGGACTAACACCCAGGCTTTCTACTACATCTCCCAGCCTCCTTCTAATGATAAAACAAGCATGTAATACGTTACACTAATTTCCATAAAATTGTGTCACATGTCAGTTTGCAATTTGTATATATATATATATATATGAACATGACATACCTGTTAGCCACACGGTACATCCTCGGAACCCACCCCTTGTTCCAACCACTTGCCCTCTCTTATTCCTGCTCACATGGTGGGCCTGATAGACTACATTGGTGGATTTCTGCTGGTTCTCCTATAAAATAAGACAAAACCAAGCACAGTATTAATTAATAAAACACATATTCTTCACTGGAGCCAATATAAATCCATCTTAAACTTTTAATTGCGAAACTGATACATGTAACAACTTATATAAAAAATATTTTGAAAGAGACTCACCTTTGTCCATTCTAATATAGTTTTTTTCATTTCTGCAGATTACCCTGAGCCATTAGCTACATGTATATATATTTTTCTTAGCTGTGAGTCTACATACCTAAGTTATTCATTCTGCATTCACTTAATGTTATTCATAAGCAGTTTTGCTTCCATAAAATAATTATTTTTAAATTACAGCATCATATCTCATTGATTCATGCAACACAATCTGTTAAATAATACAATTATAATGCAATTGCATATTACATTAATAGTCTTCAACAACTGTATCTTCTATAATTGGCAAACAGAATAACATTTATTAATTCTATTAATTTAGAAACAAACACTGCCTTTAGAATACTCATCATGGTCCTTTGAGAGTATAATTCAAACTGGAAAATTTTTGATTTTATGTAATAGTTCTGGTTGCATGACCTTTTAACATTTGCACCTTAGAGGAATGTCATCGTTTCAGTGAATGCATGTTCTCCCCAAGTCCTATAGGCTTGAACTGAGAACCCAAATACTCCAGTAGCTGAGGAAATACTAGGGTGGGGGTGGTTGATCCCCAGTCCCTATAGAGCCAGAGAAAGGCCCAGATCGCAGTGAAAAGGGTTAAAGTCAGTAATATCCCCGTTGCTCCCATTCAGACATCAGAGACACGGCAAGAGTGAAGTCCCTGAACACACAGGGCTACTTCTTCACAAGAACTAAACTGTTTCCACTTTCTCAAGGGTTAATGTATGAACTTTTTAATCTTTCAAAAAGCCCAGCAGAAATGGAAATGTACTAGTTATTAGGTTTGGAAGCTAATTAAATATCAAATGTCTTTATTTTGGCTGTAATAAAATCAGCTTAGTGAGGTAAGAGACTATCTGATCCTGATTCTAAACTCTGACTGGGAGGTACAAGTCTGATGAATAAAAAAGGTAAAGTGAGCCAATAAATACAGTTTTTGGTGGACTTAAAAGAAAATAACATGTGATCCAAGGGGGAAAAAATCCATAATAATGGTTAAATTAAAAGGTTAGGAACTACTCATAGATGTCTGCGGTGTGTAATTGAATTTCTAATGACAGACAGAATCCAGGTTTCTGAACTGTAAAAATCTATGAGCCTTTTAAATATTACACTTGCATACCCACCAGAGCTAAGAAAGCACCAACTTTTTTTAGCAAGAGCTAGAGGATTTTTGAAAACTCTGCCAGGAGCAGTGGTTTGTAATCCCAGCACTTTGGGAGGTCAAGGCGGGAGGATTGCTTAAGCTCAGGAGTTTGAGATCAGCCTGGGCAACATAGTGAGACCTCATCTCTATGAAAAATAAAAACATATTAGCCAGGCATGGTGGCATATGCCTGTAGTCCCAGCTACTGGAGAGGCTGAGGTGGGAGGATCACTTGAACCCAGGAGGCCAAGGCTGCAGTGAGCCATGATTGCACCACTGTACTCCAGCCTGGGCAACAGAGCGAGACCCTGTCTCAAAAAAAAAAAAAAAAAAAAAAAGAAAAAAAAGAAATGAAAACTCACCTCTTTTTGCTTTGGGAAATAGAAACTTCGGGAAAATAGAAACTAAAGAGGGCTACAACTAGAACTGTTTGGCAGTTTACATAAGATGACAGATATGAACATGCAAATGGCAAAGTTCTCTATAAATGTGAATACAGATGATTCACTGTAGACACCCCCCAAACCAGATAGGCTGGAATCTGCTGGATTCGGGACCAGGAAAATGGCTTCAAGACTTAGGGGACCCTACCGGCCTTTCAGTGTCAAATTAGGAAAGCCCAATTAATAGCTGCTGATAAATTTCTTTAGGGATGAATATCAGAATTATTGAATTCCTTAGAGCTAGAAAGGGATGTCATAATCAACTTGTCCCATCCTTTCCTGCGTGGCCCTTTAGGGGTGTTAAGAAAGGCAGAGCACAGAGTGGGGATGGGCCTGCTAGTGAGACAGAGCCAGGCAGAGGGGCCAATGGTTAGGGAACAGGCATTATCAGTGTCAGAAGGGGCCAAGAGGAAGGTGGTTAAAGGCACAGTGGGATCAGCTGGGTGAAGTTACCTAAAACTCTCTAAAGCTAGACGTTCTGCTCATCCATTAAGCAAATCTGGTCGGAATCCAAGACTTGGAAGTGGCTGGGCATAGTCCCAGAATGCGGTAGATGAGACAGCAGTGATGGCTTACACTAGAGGGCTCATAAATGGGGACAAATTAGGCCACTCCATGAGATAGTCTAGCAGTATCTCCCCTGGGTGAACAAATCCCCTGAAGGTATTCTGTTTTGGGCTTTGTTGTTGTTGTTGTTGTTTGAGACAGGGACTTACTCTGTCACCCCGACTGCAGTTCAGTGGTTCAATCAGGCCTCACTGCAGCCTTGAACTCCCAGGATCCAGCTATCCTCCCACCCCAGCCCTAGAAGTAGCTGGGACTACAGGTGCACACCATCATACCTGGTTAATTTTTTTTTTTTTTTTGTACAGATAGGGTCTCACCTTGTTGCCCAGGCTGATCTCCAACTCCTGGGCCCAAGTGATACTCCCACCTCAGCCTTCCAAAGTACTAGGATTACAGGCAGAAGCCACCATGTCCAGTCCCCTGAAGGTATTCTGTGTCCTTGGTGCCAAGCATATGTGATACCTCAAGGATAGCATTTAAATGTCCTTTTTTTCAATTTCCTTGTTAATTAATGCCATTAAGTTCAAGAACATTGTGTCTGAATATCAGACCCAAAAATCAGTTTACTTGATTATTCATTGATTCTTTCAGCAAATGTTTATTGAGCTCCTACTCAGTGCCAGTGGCAATCTGAAGCACTGGAAATATAGTACCAAACAAAGAAGAATCCCTGGCATCATTCTGGGGAGAAAGACAGACAAAAAGATGAGGTAACTGGGGCTCCACTCTCTGAGGGAGAGGGTATATATATACACACACACACACACACACACACACACACACATATATATATATATATATATATATACCATGTGAAGAAACGTAAAGCACACTGGCAACTCAGTAATAAAAAGACAACCTGGCCAGACGCGGCGGCTCACACCTGTAATCCCAGCACTCTGGGAGGCCGAGGCGGGCAGATCATGAGGTCAGGAGTTCAAGAGTAGCCTGGCCAATATGGTGAAACCCCATCACTACTAAAAATACAAAAATTAGCTGGGCGTGGTGGCACTTGCCTGTAATCCCAGCTACTCGGGAGGCTGAGGCAGAAGAATCGCTTGAACCCGGGAGGCGGAGGTTGCAGTGACCCGAGATCATGCCACTACGCTCCAGCCTGGGCGACAGAGCGAGACTCCATCTCAAAAAAAAAAATAAGGAAAAAAGAAAGAAAACCCAATATTTTAAAATGGAAAAAGATTTGAACAGTCACTTTACAAAGGAAGACATACACAAGGCCAGTAAAGAACCATGAAGTGCTTAATGTCATTAGTCATCCAGAAGAATGCAAATTAAAACTAAAATGAGAGGTCACTGATAATATCTAATGGCAGCAAACATGTGCTCTCATATTTTGATGGTGGAGGTATGAAGTGGGGCAATCATCCTGGGAAAAAAAACCCTGACATTTACATTTACCTTCCCCATGACTCAGCAATTCCATTGATAGATATCTATTCAAGAGAAATAAAATGTGTCCACAAAAAGACTTGCACTAGAATGTTCTTAGCAACTTTATTTGACTCAAAACTGGAAACAGCCAAGTGTCCATCAATAGGAAAATAGAAAATAACCCAACTCAAAGTGTAGAATACTTATATAATGGTTATACTATTCAATAATCAAAAGGAATGGACTATTAATACACGGAATATGGATGATAATGAATGGAAAACATTAGGCTGAGTCAAAGAAGCCTTATCCAAAAAAACTACACATTATATATGATTCTATTTGTATGAAGTCCCAAAATACAGAAAACTAATGCACTAATTCAGAACAGCCGTTGCTTCTGGGGTGATGGCAATGCTTTATGTCTTGATAAGGGTTTGAGGCACTCACGTGTATACATTTATTAGAACTCACTGAATGTATTCTAAATGTGTATTTCGTTGTAAATTTTACCATGTACACGCACACAAACACAGAGCTGTTTTGAAAAGTAAGCAAACGAGGCTGTGTGTGGTGGTTCTCGCCTGTAATCCCAGCACTTTGAGAAGCTGAGGTGGGTGGATCACTTGAGGTCAGGAGTTTGAGATCAGCCTAGCTGATACGGTAAAACCCTGTCTCTACTAAAAATACAAAAATTAGCTGTGCAGGGTGGCGCATGCCTGTAATCCCAGCTACTTGAGAGGCTGAGGCAGGAGAATCACTTGAACCCAGGAAGCGGAGGTTGCAGTGAGCCAAGACTGTGTGACTGCACTCCATCCTGGGCAAAAGAGCGAGACTTTGTCTCAAAAACAAACAAACAAACAAAAAAAAGTAAGCAGATGAGAAAATATACAATAAGATTTTAGATGGAATTATATTGCTCAATGCTGCTGCATTTATGGAAAAAGACTCTGATCCCAATCCCAACATACTAGACTAAGGTGCTGCTGCCCACCTGTGCACATGAACATCCACTAAAATTTAATTTGTCTATAGAGACAGTTTTGTTTCCTCTAGTTTGACTGTTTCTTCTCCACACAGGCAGAGATCCACAGTAAACTCCAAGCTCTGTTAATCTTCTAGGGGAACTTTGTTACGATCTTGATCATTGTCTCCCCAGCAAGTTCTTCGTTTTTCGAAAACAGTTCAAAATTAATTAGAAGGAATGACTCTAACATAGTATTTAATCTCTGAACTTTTGGTCTTTGATAACTGCATTTAAATTTTCTATTACTCCAGCAATGTTTAAACAAATAAATAAATACTTTCGGATGGCCAGGTACTGGGCTCTTTTGGTTCAGTCAAATATTTTATTCCTATTTATTTCAAAATCACCCTTGAGGTTTTGCAAAAGGCAAACAAATAGAAGCAGATATTTTGAATTATACTTGAACTGCAAGGGGGCAGAGTGGCCAAAAACTTTTCTTTTTCTTGTTGAAAGCTGTACTCTCTGCCAAAGAGCCTATGATGTTCTAAGCTTTGGAAAGAAAGTGACTGTCAGAAAAAGGATTCTCTCTATAGAAAGCAAAACACATGTTAAAGGAAAAAATGTCTGTCTTGCTGTGTGTACATAGAGAACACACAGACATCCTCGGCATCCCATCTAACTCTGCCCCTTATCAGGAAGTGGTCCAGAAACCCCAAAGTTAGTGGCATACTTCTATACTGGGTCCCTAAGACAATTTTGCAAAAATCTCTACCTTCTTCCCACTACTGGCCCAGAAAAACTCTCTGTAGCATGCATCGGAGTAGCATGAGTATCGATTTTGGAGTCAAGCAGACCTGGATTTGAAACCTGCTTCACGGCTGATTTGCTCTGTGACCTGGAGCAAGTTATTAACATCTCTGAACCTCCTTATCTTTCTCTGTAAAATGGGGATAAGAATATTTTTTTCCTAGGATTGCTGAAAGGATTAAATAAGAATTATCTAGATAAAATAGCAAAGAAAATACCAGACTCATGGTAGGATGTTGGATCTGATCAGTCCAGGTGGCATTTAATCTAGTCTGGAGAAGTGATGGTAGTTTGAATTCTAAATCACCCAGGTTTAAAAGGGTTCTGGGGATCTGGGTCTACTCTAACCCAAGTCTGGGGAGGATGTGGCACTCATGATCGAATCAGACAATGGATAGGACTGCACCAGTTTTACACACACACACACACACACACACACACACACACACACACGCAATGTTGTTGTCATTATTGCTGCTCTGTATTAAAGCCCGGCTGGGACGTACCCTACACTAAGGTTCACCAATTTGCAGTGTCATTCTACTGCAAACTTACTGCCCTTGTCCTGGCTGTCACAGAGTCATGAACACTTCGTTACCTAGATGGAGGATGGCCTTTGCCCTGGGTTTGACCCATTAGAGTCCAGGCCTTGTCACAAAGCCCAGGGTGGCATGTGTGTCTCTGCCAGGCTCACCCCTCACTCCCATTGGTGGCACAGAAAGAGGACTGCCAAAGTGGCTCCTAGAACTCAGGTGAAGTGCCGAGGGTCGTGACAGGGAGCCTCAGCCTTGATTTTGCGTGACTACAAGAGAAGTAACCTGGGGAAAAGACTAGATGGTTTCATGGTGGGGCGGGGCATTTCCAGAGCCAAATCCAAGCATGTGTCCCAGGGAGGAGTGTCATGGAAGGGAGGAGGAGTCTTGGGGAATGAAAAAGCCCTAAACCAGGTGTCTGGTGGAGCTTACCAAAGCCCAAAGCTTTTGTTCTGAGATGTTCATAATGTCTCAATTAAAAAAAACAAGCACGTGCCCTTGAATCCCCTCTGTACCCTACTCCTTCCCAGGCAGTGCAAACAAATCCACTTTACTTCTCTCTTTACAACTCCACTCCGCCCTGTTTTAACTTGGCCCTCATTGCCACTGGTCTCTGCTTTCATTGCTCCCTTGCTGATTAAACGTGTTCCAAATCTTCCCGCTCCTCAGTGTGCAGTTTGAAGATTCAT
This sequence comes from Homo sapiens, assembly GCF_000001405.40. Taxonomy (NCBI): domain Eukaryota; kingdom Metazoa; phylum Chordata; class Mammalia; order Primates; family Hominidae; genus Homo; species Homo sapiens. The sequence continues at coordinate 87,702,507 of NC_000010.11, read as the reverse complement.
TTAAAGACCCATTTTCAGAAAGTTGCAACCCCAGTGATTGCCCTATCAGGCCCATGGTAGGAGCTCCACTTCCACGTGCATTATCTCATTTATTGCTCAAAACCTGGGAGCCATAGAGACTGAGCATTGTGATCCATTTACAGATCTGAAAACTACTGCTCAGAGATATTGGGAAGGGGGCTGAAGTCCCACAGCCAGAAGACACAGGATGTAGCCAGGTTTAAGTCTGGGTCTTATTTCTGCATAGACAGGACTCCTAGTTTCCAGTCCCAGTTATGTGAGCTCTTTGTCACAGCTTCCTCCCTGAGGATTGAAGGAGATAATATATAATAAGGCTTTTCATACTACACTATAATGTAAACAATTTAAAAATCATTCTCACTTCATCTTCATTACTTAACATGAGTAGCTTCAAATGTTTCACAATTATATATTTATTCCTTTCCGATTAGTTCTTTTGAATATACAACCCAAAGTGAAATTATTGAGTATCAAAACTTATAAACTATTTTGTAGGTCTCATTGTATACTGCCAGTTCATTTTCCAAGTGACAAAACCAAGTTACCAGGCTACCACGATATACCCACTTCTAAATATTCAATGACTTTTTTGTGTTTGTATTTTTACTGTTTTTTCCCCCAGGTTGATTTGTACTTATTTTGGTAAGAATATGCCTTTTTCTGTGTAATAAGTTACTTAGGCCATTCGTGTGTTTGCCTCTTTGATATTAATTAACTACAATCTGGACAATGATCTCATCCACTTTTTAAAACTATGTTTTGGGCTGGGTGCGGTGACTCATGCCTATAATCCCAGCACTTTAAGAGGTCAAGGTGAGAGAATCGCTTGAGTCCAGGAGATAGGAACCAGCCTGGGGAACGTAGTGAGATACTATCTCTAGAAAAAAATTTAAAAATTAGCTGGGTGTGGTGGCACGTGCCTATAGTCCCAGCTATGCAGGGAACTGAGGTGGGAGGAGATTGCTTGAGCCCAGGAGGTCAAGGGTGCAGTGAGCCCTTATCATACTACTGAACTCCAGTCTTGGCAATGGAGTGAGACCTTGTCTGAAAGAAAGAGAGAGAGAGAGAGAGAGAGAGAGAGAAAGAAAGAGAAAGAAAGAAAGAAAGAAAGAAAGAAAGAAAGAAAGAAAGAAAGAAAGAAAGAAAGAAAGAAAGAAAGGAAGGAAGGAAGGAAGGAAGGAAGGAAAAAAGAAAGAAAGAAAGAAAAAAGAGAAAGGAAGAAAGGAAGAAAGAAAGAAAAAAGAAAAAAGAAAGAAAATTATTATATAAATAAAAACATATTTTGGTGCTTCTTTTTTCTATGCTTTGTATCATAACATTTTTACTAATTATATAATAATATATACTTTTTGTTCACTTGCTCCCCTTTTGGTATGTACTTTATTATATATCACATTATATCTATTATATCATATTAAAGAGTATTTTATGAATATACAGAAATATTCCTGTTGTTGGTGTCTTCCATTTGATCATTAATCATACATACCTGGGCCAAAAATACTCTTCAAACTTCTAGCTACCTCGATACAATTAAACTGTACCAATTTTTAAAATATGAAATTATTATAATTTATTATGTGCTTACATGGATCGATTTTATTTCTTTTCCATCATTACATCCAGCAATCTCAAATATATTATAATTTATTTCCCTTCTACTTTGGATATCTTTTGGTAGTTTGAAACTATTTCTAGAATTCTTATGTAGTTATAATTAACTTTTCTACTTTTAGTGTAGACATCTATGGTTCTGATAGTTGTTTTTCTAACGTGTTTTAAAATTTCAAAAATATAAAATTCATTCTTTTTTCTTTTTTTTTTTTTTTGAGACAGGGTCTCACTCTGTCACCCAGGCTGCAGTGCAGTGGTGTGATCCTGGCTCACTGCCGCCTCCACGTCTCCGGCTCAAGCGATCCTCCCATCACAGCCTCCTCAGTAGCTGGGACTACAGGCACAAGCCACTGTGGCTGGCCAATTTTTGTATTCTTTTGTAATGTAGAGCAACTGCCACATTACCTGGGCTGGTCTAGAACTCCTAGACTCAAGTGATTCTCCTGCCTCAACATCCCAAAGTGCTGGGATTACAGGCATGAACCACTACACCCAGACAAAAAGCTCATTCTTTAAAAGAAAATTTTCCATTTTAGTTCATTCCACATTCTCTCATGGAATTGAAATTATGCAAGTTTTGTTGCGAACATAAAATGACTCACTATAATTTTCTCTGCCAGTTTCTCTGATTCTCAAATGATCTCAACATTATAATACAGAAAAATGAATCATTATCCAAGGATGTTCATAGCAATATTATCTAAAATAGTGAAATCAGAAACAATAAAAATGTCCATCAATTAACTAGATTATGGCACATCCATATGATTAATAGGTAAGAAAACAGCTTACAGAGTGAGTTAACATTAATCTCGTTAAAATATATGTATTTATATGTATAAGGCTATATAGAAAAAAGTCTGAAAATCATGGAAAAATGCTAATAGTGATAATAATCATCTTGAAGGTTAGGTCATTTTAGGTAACTATTTTCCTTCTCTTCTCTATATTCTAGTTTTCAATATTAAATTTGGAAATAAATATATATTTAAAATATAAAGAATTTCTCAACCAGAAAATGGAGAGGCCAAAATAGTTTGATTCTTTTTTTTTTTTTTTTAGTGGCATGATCTCGACTCACTGAAACCTCTGCGTCCCGGGTTCAAGTGATTCTCCCGCCTCAGCCTCCCGAGTATCTGGGATTACAGGCGCACACCACCACGCCCAGCTAATTTTTGTATTTTTAGTAGAGGTGGGGTTTCACCATGTTGGCCAGGATGGTCTCACTCTCTTGACCTCGTGATTGGCCCGCCTCAGCCTCCCAAAGTGCTAGGATTACAGGCGTGAGCCACCGCTCCCAGACAATGGTTTGATTCTTAAGGTTCAAAGGGATCACAGATGTGTGGACACAAGTGAGTCCTGTAAAACAAGTTACAACCAACAGAACAATAACCAAATCAAGTGAACAAATAAGAAAATACTATTAGCCAGGGATGGCAACTCATGCCTATAATCCCAGCAACTGGAGAGGCTGAGGTAAAAGGACCCCTCGAGCCCAGGAGGCTGCAGTGAGCCATGAATGCACCATTGCACTCCGGCCTGGGTAACAGAGGGAAACTTTGACTGCAAAAAAATATATATGTTAACCTTGACATCTTGAGAGCAAATATTTAAGGCAATGAATCCCTTTAAAATATATAATGAAATGCAGTGAGCTCTACACTGATAATCTTTAAAGTATAGTCCATTTCACTTGATCATGTGGTAATTTGTGTTGGCACTTAAATATCATTCGGAGAATAAATGTCCATGAAGGTATAACAGCTTTTGGAAATTGATATGACAAATGGCAACCTCTCAGAGAAAGCTGCCCTAACAATATTCATAAGTTATCTAAACAGCTGAACAGCAAGAAGGCTGTTTCATTCAACTTTGATGCAGTCACCACCCACTGGACATTTAAGGTTCAATTCCAATACTATGGTTATTGGTAGATAGGAAAGTCTTAACTGAATAAGTGTCACTAAATTAAAATTTCATAACATAGGGGTTTTATTGTTGTTTTTGATTATTTTTTAGAAACGAGGTCTTGCTATGTTGCCCAAGCTGGACTTGAACTCTTGGGCTCAAGCAATCGTCCTGCCTCAGCTTCCCCAGTAGCTATGACTACAGATGTGCACCTCCATGAGATAACATGTTTTAAAAGGGATTTAACACTAAGGAAAATATCGTTCGTAAGTATTTTGTGTAAAGAGAGATTGTGAATAAAGGGAGCCAACAATAGATCATGCTAAATCCAATCCCAGGAACACAGTTTCACAATATGCATTTACTTATCATGCAAACAATGCCTCTCGGAAGCCTCCAACACTATAGGATTATACTTTGTGTTAAACTACTCTTGAGTTATAAGGGAAATAACCATATCAGGTAGACAGTGACAAAATATCAGTTGTGAAAATTGAGAGAAATGATTTGAGAAACTCCTGAAAAGAGCAAATTAAATCATTTGTCAAAGTTACTGGGCAACACAAAAATTACCCAAATCTGAAATTTATGAATTAAAATTGTGATCAGACCAAAAAAAAAGCTATAGTAGAATTTCTTTAAAACCAAAAATTATCATTTTCTTCAATTCCTGCTACAGAAGGTTATGTTGCATAGGTTAATGCTGTGAACGAGAAAACACTTTAAGGGGAAAACATACATACAACCAAGTTGATTTGACTTTTCGAAGCCACTAGTAGGAAATAAACCACAGACTAATGTCAAAGAGATAAGAATTTGAATAGTATGAAAACATTGCAACAACGATGACAAAGAAAAAAACAGATGGAGGTCATACTTACGGCATCTTTTTAAAAAAATTCCGCATGACTTTTTACAGTATTTAATTTTTTCCCAAAACATCTGAAAAACATGCAAATTGTTGGAAAACCCTAGAGGGCAAATTCAGACAGTTTGCAAGCATCATTCAGATGTTTGCCAAGAAAAATAAAGAAGCCCCTCTCCTCATGGGACTGTGCATGCTGTTACAGGTCTTGTATACTTCTGGTCCTCTGTCTACCACATATGTTAGATGTCAATCCAGAGGTCTGTGCAGTGGTTACAAACAAGGCATTATCTGGAAGAGAAGAGACTGTGGAGTTTCCATTGGATGATAAACCACCCAGCCCTGGCTTTTTCAGATATCCTGCAGGAAGGAACAGGTTTATGACACAGGAGAGCTTTGGCTGCATCTTTCACTTGGAATCATAATCATATGTTCTGTGCTTTCCATCTTGGTTCTCCTCATATGCTCTGGAATCTGCCTTATTTTCCTTGGACTGCCGCCTCTTAGTGAAATTGCTTGAGGCAGCTCTTCCTCTGGCTCCAGTCTCCAGCTGGTACAATTCTATGTAATCAACCTTGGACACACCCTGACGACAGCTCCTCACTCCCAGAGCACAGGTGAGCCACCTCTCCTTGGCACCCTCCTTGGTGCCCTCCAGGTCAGGGGTCTGTGTCTGGCTGAGTTGGAACTTCACCCTTCCGCAGTGGGTACAATGCAGGATCGAGTGAACCCAGGTGCCAGGGTGGAAGCCCCGACCCCTCGTTGCCCCTTGCTCTGAGACAGTTGCTAGGAGTTGCCAATCGGCCAGGACGCACACTAGGGTGACTGGAGCCCTGAGCCTGCCTGATCTTCCTATTTGCCATAACCATGTTCGTTTTTTGCCTATTCTAATCACCAGAAAACACCACACAAACTCCAAGAAGGGCATTCTACAAAGTGTCTGACCTGTACTCCTCAAAACTGTCAAGGTCATCAAAACCAAGGAAAGGCTGAGAAATTGTCACTGCCAAGAGGAACCTAAGGAGACAAAACTAAATGTAACATGGGATAGGATCCTTGAACAGAAAAATGTTAGGTGAAAATTAAGGAAATCTAAAGAAAGTACGGACTTCAGTTAACGACAATGTATATTTGGTTCATTCATTGTACCACACTAATGTGAAAGTTACTAATAGAGTAAACTAGGTGTCAGGGTCCATGGGAACTCCTTGCACCATCTTCTCAACTTTTCTGTAAATCCAAAACTTCTAAAAAAATAAAAAGTCTAATTGTTTAAAAAAGTGCATTTTAGTAAGATTTAGCAACAAACAAAATCACGAAAACCTAAACATTTCATAATCACTTCAGTTTCTGCATTGCTGGATTCTTTATCCTTCGTGATCACATTTCTTAAAATAGCTAACTTTATTATTTTACTTTTAATTTAAGGGTTAAAATTGCTTGGAGTTATATGAGAAATCCTTTCATAAGCATATCATGAAATAAAGCAGAAAAAACAGAAAAATTAATGGACAAGACACTGGTAGAGCAGCTGGGTGTGCATACAACAAGTATAGGCATATCTATGATATTTATGGACAACATTTAAAAATATCACAAGTGAGATTCTGTTTTGAGAGAAAGCCAGTGAGACCTAGCAGTGTTCTCTTCTGAGTCCCTTTTGTCTCTCCAAAGTGGAGGTGAGATTAATTTTCATTCAGCCCTTTGTATGTCCTCAAGCCTCCTATTATAACATACATAGCCTTTAATTTTCCATATAGAGAGAGCCCAGGAAATAGAAAAGAGGAGAAAGAAGGAGGTTTGAAACTCCACAGAAGGGCAAATACTCAAAAGAGCTATGTTTTTTGAAACAGGACAATGGAACAGAAGCAATTAGACAGAGAATATTGCAGGGTAAAAGAGCAAATATTTTTGGACCAAATAATCCTGAAATTGCATCCTGCCCTCGAATGGACCCAAGATAGAGAATTTCATAGCTGAAGTTGGGAGTGTATATGCATGTGGAGCTATTCCCCAGGACCTCAGGAGAGGGGTTTCCACACCCATAGATGCTCACAGATCTTCACATCTGGACCCAAAAGCCATCACGTGAAGCCAGATTTGGATGGAGATAGCAGGTGGAAAGACAGTGAGGCCAGGGGAAGTTTAGATTTCATGGCTATCCTGGGTGTAGCAATACTCCTGACCTGTGAGACTGATATTTTTAAAAAGCATCTCCTTATGGAAAAGGGCTCTTTGTGATAAAACTTTTCCAAAGCCCAAATAACTAGTTTCCAAATTTACCCTTGGAACATGGCTTGCTTTTAAAATGACGACGAGGGCTTATAGGACCTACTGCTCTCCTTCCTCTCTAATTATGTATCATTGATCTAATTATGTATCCGCACATCCTGTTGAGTCTTTCTTCATGATCTCTATCACATAAGAACTTTCTTGCAATTTCCACTGTCAGCATTCTGACTTAGACCCTTCATGTCTTGGTTCCTGTGACTTCCACTTCAACCTTCAGGCTTATCCCACAGTAGGCAGTAAGCTGGCTGCCAAATGATGTTCAGCCTTGGTCCTGACCCGGGTGCCTCAGTTTGTGTCACATTCTGTAGCAGAACTTGTTGCGGGTCCTCCCCTTGCCTTTTGCCCCCTAACCTGCTCATTTTTTATGTACAGGCTGCTATGGTCTAATTATTTTTTGTTCCCTTTGCCCTTTATATTCGCTTGTGAAAAACATAATGCCTAATGTGATAGGATTGGGTTGGGCCTTTGGCAGGTAATTAGATCATGAGGGAGGAGCCCTGATGAATGGAATTAGTGCTCTTATGAAGAGGCCCCACAGAGCCACCTGGCCGTTTTTCCTCCATGTGAGCTTATAGCAAGAAGGCAGCCCTCACCAGACACTGAATCTGTAAGTTCCTTGCTCTTGGACTTCTCAGCCTCCAGACCTGCAAGAAATAACTTTGTTTTTTATAAGCCACCAGGGTATGGTATTTTGTGATAGCAGCCTGCATGGACTAAGACATCGTTGCATTTCACTCCTTAGACCCTCCTGATGCTATGAACTGATTCTCCAGCCCTGGCCTTTGCCTCTCTTTGTGACTATGCTTTCCTTCTAGCTACCCTGCCCTCCATTGCTGTGCGTAAATATCCCCCTTGGCCTGGCCTAACTTTTTGGACCTGTTCCTGAACACAGTCCCCCATGAACCCTACTCCTTCTGAGTTTCCTCAAGGTTGTAAAGCAGCCATCACATCATTTCCCTGCCTGGCCCAGAGCCCCTTTACTGATTTCCAGCTCTATCACCTCTTTTTCCAGTTGACAATCAGGTTAATTTTCTAAAACACCCTTAAATCATGTTACTTTTATATCCAAAACTTGTAATCACTTCCTATAAACCACAGAACAAAGTCCTAATCCTTAGCTTGGAACTTAAGGCCCTCCGCTAAGCCGGTTCCATTTACCTTTCAGCCATATTTTCTACTCTCAGATAACAGAACTTTTGTTCTCAGCAGCAGGTCTGTTTATGATTTCCTGGACACAGCTTGGTCATTCTGGTTTTGCACCTTTTCTCATTCAGCTCTTCCCACTGGAATCATCTCTCCATGCCCTCAACTATCCACATACCACCTGTTCTCCAAGCAGCACAAACCCCATGGGTGCTGGCTGCCTTCCTTGATGCTTCTTTCCTAAACTCCTGTAGCTATGAGATCCTGTGGCACTTTGCCTGGGTGGTGTAGACTTATGCCTTATGTTTTCTAGATTTATAGACTTAAGTCTGATGTTTTAGATGTCATTGTCAACCCCACACAGAAGGGGCCATAGCTTATACAGCTTTGATTTCCTGATAAGATCCAGCTAAGAGGAAGTAATATAGATTTTAATGTTGGACAGTTTGGAAGCAGTTCAAATTCTGCCTCCACTAGAACCTTGAGCAAGCTAAGCCTGACCTCTCTACATCTCATAAAATTGTGGGATTATAGTTCCTGCTAATGTTTGCAAGGATGAAAAGAGATGATGTGGAATACTTGGACTTATAGTAGGTATTCATTACATATTTGTTGAATGAGTAACAGAAGTTTAATAAACGTTTCGTTGATTTGTTAACTGATGTGAATATCCTTAAACAAACTCCTCTAGTGTCAGTACTCAGTAAAATGACATGTTCCAAACTTTAGTTACAGTCACTTTTATGTTCTGTGTTAAAGATTTCTTCAAGTGAGACCTGCTGTGACCTGTCTTCTTCTAGGCCCCACCACAGAAAAAGCCAAAGCAGTCCAAACGTTTAAAAGAACGAACTACCATTCACAAATGCATTTGTAAAATATCCTTTGAAATCAGCATCAAATAATTATGTGCTGTTGTAATTATAGTTCTGGTGAGCTCTCCATATTCTATGAGAATTGATTAAGCTAATGTGAACCAATGCATTTCAGTTAGTGCTGAAATCCAAGTTATCAACTAAATCTAAATAAACGACCGAACTGGACACTTATTTAATACAGTGCTTTTGTATGTCAAACGCGCCACATGCTCTGAGCACATTCTCAAGTAGGTTATTCCACTGCTTCTTCCTCCACAAATATGAACAATCCAAAGATAGCTAATTAAAATATGTGTTATTATGAACTGAAAGAGTCCTTCGGTTGGAAATGACCTGAAATCACCATTCTGAAAAGTCTACACAAAAAGCTGGCATATGCAAAGGTTGTTCACTCTCTGCTGGGGAACAATTAAATTCAAAATTCATTCAGCTGCTACTCTGTCTAAACACCATGCACTGGAAAGGCAGATTCCTAAGGCTAAGAAAGACCAATAAACTCATCATGCTCTCAGGTAAACAGAATCACAGGACTTCAGTGTGGCCATGCCAGCCTGGCTCAAGGCCTCATTTTATGTGTGATATTCTGATGATTCCATTAAAAGAACTCAGGAAACTTGATCAGAAGGCACAGTCTCCCACCCAGTCATCAAAAGTGGACCCAGGGAAGGATTCTGCCCTTTTAAGGGAGAGCAAAGCAAAGGGCATTTTTGGAAGAGTCAGATTAACGCCTTTCTAGAGACTTACTGTCATTATTAGTAGTAGAGGACTCAATTCACTGTAATATGACTTCCATGCTCACCATTATATTCAAACAGATTAAATGAATTACCACGTGTAAGGTGTTTAAAACAGTGCCTAATCAACATTGGGGGTTGTTATGATGATTATTGGCAAGATCTTCAGTGTTTATCCTCTTTCCCCTGCACACTCAGTGATCTGCTCAGCCACAGCTACAGACTCAACCTCGCGGGCTACCCTCCCTATAAAATGGCTTATTGCACTAGGTTGACCCAAGTGAAATCAACACACAGGATGAACCCATTAGATTCTCTTAGGAATTTAAGCTGTATAAAATCAGACAACCTGTCAGTTATATGGTTGACCATTTAACTGGAGATTCATGTAGAATCTGGACTGGATTTGGCAAACCAAGGCATTAGAAGCAGAAACAACAAGCAGCCAATAATCTCTAAAACAGCATCTCTCTTCCATTTCTTCCCATTGACCACTCTTTTTCTGGAAAACTCTCTCTTCAGCTTCCAAGATAATGTTCTCTCTCAGAGCTTTTCTGTCTTCTCATCGCTCTTCCATAGACTCCTTGCCATATTCCTCTCTTCCTCCATCTCTCTTTAGGGTCAGGGATCCATAGCTCTGCCTTCAGCACTCTTCTACTCTTCCTCCCTACACCCCTCAGTGATTTGTACCTGCTTCCAAGGCTTTGTCTACCATCCATATGCTGCGGGCTCCCAAATCTCTATCTTCAGATATCCAAATGCCTAGTAGGTATGATTCCCCCCAGAGCCACTGAAACTCAGCAGGATCAAGATGGAATTCATCTTCCTATCATCACCCTTTGCTCCTTTTCCCATATTCCTCACCACTAGCGATGACCCACACTTCTCCCCATTTTGTAAGCTAGGAGCCATCCTATTGCTTGTCTCCTTCATTAAAAAAATTAATCTATCAAGTCTTGCAAATTTCAGCTAAACGCCATTCCATCACTGTTAGTTAGCTAATTGCTCCCAGAAGTCTTCCTGACAGCCTTTGAACTGGACTCCCTCTCTTCCATGAAGCCATTCTCTTCTTTGCCAGTAGAGTAAAATTCCCTTTAATTTTATTTTTTTTAGAGACAGGGTCTTGCTTACTCTGTCACACAGGCTGCAGTGCAGTGGCATGTTCATGGCTCACTGAACTCAAGTGATCTTCCCACCTCAGCCTTCCAAGTAGCTGTGACTACAGGTGTGCACCGACCATACCTGGCTAATTTTTAAAATTCTCCTTGCTTGGAAAGTCCTTTCTCCTTGGGTGCTTACTCACTCATTAAGGTGTGGCCTAAACATTGCTGTGAGGCTTTGGCTAATCTTCCCACCTACAGACAGACTGAGCAACTTCCTCCTCTGACCCCACAGTATCCTGTTTCTACTGATATCTCATTTCCCAAACTTACCTAATTTAAGACTCTCATGGGCACTTGTTAAAAATACACATTCCCAGGACCATCCCCAGGAAATTCTCATTCAAGTGGTCGGCGGTAGGGCCCAAGAAACTAGGGTTTTTATGTTGTTGCCTTTTTTTTTTTTTAAGTGTCTCAAGTGATTTTAATGCTTAGGCAAATCTAGGTAACACTAACCAATATAAGAGAACGTAGGTTAAATATGGATTTTTGCTGACATGTCGGCCTTCTTCACCAGATGGGAACACCAGAGAGGCTGCTTTGCTCACGTTTATCTTTGAATCTGTATGCCTGGAATACTATGGGGGTTCAAAATTTACTGAATGAATGTTTCTTAAACTAATTTGTCATGCCCATGATACTTCATAAACTTGGTTTGTTATTCAAATGTTTGTTATGGTCAAAGGTAGCGAGCCAGATGCTGAGATAGTCTTGGAAGAGGATAGGTGCCAAAGTGGTGGATAGGTCATAAGAATGGGAAATATTTAAAAATAATCTTGGCTGAGTCACAGATTTGGGGGCAGCCATACTTGGTAGTACTGTAAGATGAGCTCTACAGAATTAATAAAATTCACTGTGTAGAAAGATAGAAACTCTTGCCCCTCACCCCACCTCCCTCAGTTGGATGTATGTTCCCTTGAACAAGCAGAATGGTACAAAAGTTAAGAGCATGAACACAGGGTCATGATGGGTTGTGCATACTGATTCCACCAGTGGCCAACTGCTGTATGCCCTTAAGTAAATTACTTAACCTCTCTGTTCCTTCACTTATAAAATGATTGTAATAACAGCTGCAGCCTTACTGAACTGTTATGAGGATTAAATGAGGAAATGTACATAAAAGCACAGGGTCTGGCTCTTAGTTAAGCTCTCAATAAATGTTAGAAAAAGAAAAATAGTTGTTTTTAATGATAATTAAAATGGGTCTTTTCATCTCATCTCTTACCACTCCACCTTCACATTCTGCACACCTATCAATCTAACCCCTGAAATTCCCCCAGATATCCCTGTTCTCTCTGGCTTCTGGACCTAGCTCATGCTATATTCTTCTTAATTATTTAATTATTGCATAAGTCACATCCACATGGCTCAAAAACTGAAAAGATATATACACAAGCAGGTATGCAGAAGCCATGCTGCCACTTCTGCCTCCGCCCCCATCTCTCTAGCCTCCCTCCTCCTCACTTCTAAAAGTAGATGGTCATTTCTATTCGTTCCTTACATGCTCTGTCAGTTTTTTATGCATAAATTTTAAAATAGGCATTTATTTGCTTAATCCTCCTTTCCACACTATTACACACCTTTTTCAGATCTGTCTTGGCAAATCTTTCCACATCAGTACAGAGGGTTTTCTCATTCATTTTACCCTTGCATAATGTTCCGGTGTATGAATATATATTTAACTAGCTCTTTTTTGATGAATACTTGGATGATTTCCAGTCTTTTATTATTACAAACATTGCAATAATTAATAACCTTATACTTAATTTTTTGCATGTGAAAATATATCTGTGGGATTAATTGCTAGACGTGGATTACTAGGTCAATCAGTATGAACATCTGTCATATCAATAGATATAACTAAATTGTCCATTATAGAATATTACACCAATCTATACTCCTACCAGCGATGGATGGGAGTTTCAGTTCCCAACAGCATTGCCACAGAGTATATCAAGACTTTTGGATTTCTACCAATCTGATGAATGAACAATGGTATTTCAATGTGATTTTAGTTTAAATTTCTATTATAAGCTATATTGTACACCTTACACCTTTTATTATGTCTACGACTGTTTGTATTTTTTCCTTTTTCTTTTTTGGACTCTCATTCATACTCTTTACCCCTTGTTCTATTCCATTATTGGTCTTTTCTTATAATTTGCAGGAGCCCTGAAGATATTATGTAATCTTCCCAGTTCTTTTTTTTTTTCTTTTTTTTTTTTTTTGAGACAAGGTTTCGCTCTTGTTGCCCAGGCTGGAGTGCAATGGCACGATCTCGGCTCACCGCAAACCTCCACCTCCCAGGTTCAAGCGATTCTCCTGCCTCAGCCTCCCAAGTAGCTGGGATTATAGGCATGCGCCACCACGCCTGGCTAATTTTTTGTATTTAGTAGAGACGGGGTTTCACCATGTTAGGCTGGTCTCGAACTCCTGACTTCAGGTGATCCACCTGCCTCGGCCTCCCAAAGTGCTGGGATTACAGGCCTGGGCCACTGCGCCTGTCCCCCAGGCCACAAGTTCTTTGTGGGTTTTTTTTGTTTTTTTTTTTTTTTGAGATGGAGTTTTGCTCGTGTTGCCTAGGCTGGGGTGCAGTGGCATGATCTCGGCTCACCACAACCTCTGCCTCCCAGTTTCAAGCAATTCTCCTGCCTCAGCCTCCCGAGTAGCTAGGATTGCAGGCATGTGCCACCATGCCCGGCTAATTTTGTATTTTTAGTGGGGACGGGGTTTCTCCATGTTGGTCAGGCTGATCTCCAACTCCCGACCTCAGGTAATCCACCCGCCTTGGACTCCCAAAGTGCTGGGATTACAGGCGTGAGCCACCGCAACTGGCCCCGGCCCTGACCCCTGGTTCTTTATTCCTTAACTTTGTGAATAATGTTGTTTCTGACTTGTTTATGGAGTTGCTTTCCATACAGTTTTTTTTTTTAAGGTAGTTAAATTTATCCATCTTTTCTTTCAGGTGGGACTCCAATTATTCTGGTTATACCACTGCTTAGAGACAACTAGTGGAACTGAATGTGAGTATCACTTCAAGCAATTAAGAAAAAGAGAGAGTTATTTTGGTCGGTTTTACAAAGAAGTCTGAATAAGAAGGACTGTTTGGGTTTTTGTTTCTTAGAAATTTCCATAGTTCTGCCGGCCTTGGTGGCTCACGCCTGTAATCCCAGCACTTTGGGAGGCCGAGGCGGGAGGATCATGAGGTCAGGAGATCGAGACCATGGCTAACACAGTGAAACCCCGTCTCTACTAAAAATACAAAAAAATTAGCCAGGCGTGGTGGCGGGCGCCTGTAGTCCCAGCTACTGGGGAGGCTGAGGCAGGAGAACGGCATGAACCCGGGGGGCGGAGCTTGAGGTGAGCAGAGATCCCACCACTGCACTCCAGCCTGGGTGACAGAGTGAGACTTAGTCTCAATAAATAAATAAATAAATAAATAAATAAATAAAATAAAAAAGAAATTTCCATAGTTCTTCAGGGTTTTCCTCTGAAGAAGAAAGAGAATACATAATGTCAGTTACAAATGGTATATTTAAGGTTTTACCATCCTGAGATTTGACGAATTTATAATTATATTAAATTTACAGGTGTGTTTTATCATTATCTTTTGAAAAATAATAAACTCTAACAATAATTTCCATGCCTAATTGTTTTCCACACTATTGCATATAGTCATATATGCCTAATTTTTAACTAGAATATTATATATTAATTAGCTTTTTAGTGTTATTATATGTATTTTAATGAATTATAAATTCCTTAGAAGGCCTACAATAATTTTTACTTTATAGTAAGATTCCAGTTACACCTGACTAGTTAGTACACATCCATTTCTCCTGGATCAAATTCAACCCTGACAGAAATGAATATTAAATATACAGGACTTAATTGATTAGAACATTAGAATAAAAGTGTATATGAAAGAAAATAGGTGGCATTGTCCAATAGCACAGTCTAAATCAAATCATTTAAAAAATTACATCAAATCCAGATAAAACTATGGTTTAATTTCCACTTAATCATCATTTTTTGTATTCTTCTCTCTTGATTCTTTTTTCTTTTTAAGAGTTTTTTAAATTTTTAATTGAGACATAACTGTACATATATATGAAGTACAAGGTGATATTTCGATACATGTATACCTTGTGTAATGATGAAATCAGGGTAAGCATTCCATCACCTCAAACACTTATCATTTCTTCATGCTGAGAACATTCAACATCCTCTCTTCTAGCTACTATAGGCACTTCACTGTGCAATGGAACACCAGGACTTATTCCTCCTATGTAACTGTATTCATCCTCCCTTCCCTTCTATCGTTACCAGCCTCTGGTAACCACTATTCTACTCTCTATTTCTATGCGGTCATCTTTAGAATCCACATATGAGTGAGAGAACATGCTATTTGTCTTTCTGCATCACTTTTTGAAATGGAAATAACCTTTCGTATATTTAGAATTTGAATCCTTCAACCAAGTGGGCTAGTCTATTAAGCAAATTAACCAGTTAAAATCCAAAATAAGATAGTATTAGCCACAATAACTTTTTTAATATAGGAGCCTGTATTCCCACCTACGTCATAAGCATCATCAGTTAGTCATAGTCCATACTTATTTTATCATTTTGATTAATTTTTTCAAAATATATTTATTGAGCTCAACTATATGCCAAAGATTGTACTTGGGGCTGTGGGGATAGTGGTGAAAGGGACACACACAAGGCCTGCAGCTCCTAAAGTCACCTCTGACTCTAACCATCATGCCCAAAGTACTCAGCAAATATGAACTGTTGAAATTGTGCTGAAAATATATTGCAAACCTAGTTAAAATGACCAGATTTAACAAATAAAAACATAGGATGCCCCATGCAATATTTGAGACATACTTATATCAAAAAAGTATTTCTTGTTTGTCTGAAGTTCAAATTTAGCTGGATGTCCTGTGTTTTATCTAGCATCCTACTAAGGGTTTATTTCTCAGAAAATAAGCCCTAACCTTGCATTTATTCCATGCCTAGGCCATGGGAATCCTGAAGATGTTTCTCACTGTTCCTCGTGCTATTTTGTACTCCATTTATAAAAATTCTGTTTAGGAATTCTTTTCAAAGGAATGCCCCTCTTCTCTGACGTTAATCAGAAGGGATGGTTTAAAAGCCTTGGTTCCAAATTGTTAGTTGGTAAAAACAATTAAATCATGGGACAACAGTAAGTGTCGTCTCATGAGTCGACAACCAGTTCTGAAATTGTAGACATAGCAATTTTTCAAAATTTAGATAATTTTCCTATCAAGATCTAAGCACATTCAGATTTTACACATAACCTTGACATTAGTTATGAGGTGGTCCACTGGCTAGGAGGTGGCTGAATAGGATACAGTATCCCAGGAGCGGGTGTGTGTACTGGGTGTGAGGTGAGCTATACGAAGACCTTGGAGGGGGAAGAGAAGGGGATTCCAGACTCCAGAATGACAGGATTCAGATGTTCCTAAATAGCTGCACCCTCCCCCTCTATTAACCAATGGGTAAAAGGGCCTCTTTTTTTTTTTTTTTTTTTGGAAAGTTGCCACTCTCCTCCTGGCTGGCACTACTCACAGATTCCACAGTGTAAAGGAGTGTCTAGAAAAAAAAGGACAAAGTTCGACAGGATAGCTTGCACACTTAACTTTTGTAAAATGCTTCTAGGAAAAAAAATTGTTTTAATCTATCTCTGTACATACATACACAACTACCTTTGTTACTGAAAAAAAAAAAAAACCACCTTCCATCCAGATTCAAAGGCTGCCAAAATCACTTCTTATTTTTCAGAGCAGGAAACCAGGTGCATGATTAGTCTTCTTGGGCTAGGGAACATCTGAACTCAGAAAAGGAGCTGGAGACCTCCTTCCTGCTCTCTCGTCATCACACCAAAGGCCAATAATGCACTGGAAGATCCAGTAAACTTTGCACTGCTCTAAGATGGTCCAGGAGAGATGCAGAAATAGAACATCTCATCTCCAACCACAATTTGAACCGCAGAATTTGAGAGTAGGTGACCCTATTTGTACCCTCCTATTTCCAGCCAAGGAGAAGCCAAGAACTGGCCTCACATGGGCTCCTGACACAAGGCTAGGAAACTGATCTTTCCTTTTCATGTAAATCTGTAGCCTCTACCTGAATGTTTCTGTGGAAACAACAGAAAGAAACATGCATTGTGAAAAAATAAAATTTTTTTTGAGACAGGGTCTCACTCTGTCACTCAAGCTGGAGTGCAGTGGTACAATTGTGGCTCACTGTAGCCTCAACCTCCCAGGCTCAAGCGATCCTCCCACCACCAGCTTCCCGAGTAGCTGAGACTGCAGGTATACATCATCATGCCCAGCTAATGTTTTTATTTTTTTGTAAGGATGAGGTCTTGCTATGTTGCACAGGCTGGTCTCAAACTCCCAGGCTCAAGCCGCCTTGTCCTCCGTAAGTGCCAGGATTGCAGGCATGAGCCACTGCACTCAGCCTGACAATTTTCTAAAAAACATAAAATATGAGTTGGCAGTTCTTTTCCTACAAACATTAAAGAGAAGACTCCATACAGAAAATAAAAATTCTAATACAGGAAAAGCAAAACAAAACAAAAATGTAGTCCTCAGGTTTCCTCATACTCTGCTTGAAAAGAGTAGAGCCTGAACAGTTAAAGCCAAAAATATACCAACACAGAGACAAGCTCAACTCTCCTCTCTGGGGTTAATTTGGCTTTTAAATATGCTTTTGAAGTGGGGGGCTCAGCTTGAGCCTACAAAGGATTTCCCATGGATTCAGACATGGCAGGTGAATGAATGGGGTCACTGGGGATAGCCCTACCCTAAGCTCAGAAAACTGGATCTGAGAGCCAAGCTTTAGTCCCAGGGGTAGAGATGAGTCCCTGTGTAGCCTGGTGACCTGGATTTTTCCTTCAGAGGCAGTCCTTTAGAGGGAGAAAAGAAAGACAGAGACAGATCAAAGAAGTGCTTCACTAAATAGCTCAGTCAGACACTGAGGCATAAAAGGGTGAGGGTAGGGAGCCTGGGCTACCTTGGCTCAAGGTCTGGCTCAACCACGAAATGACCTGTGTGACTTGAGGTAATCAATTCTAAAGCCACTCGTAGCTTCAATCTCCCCGTCAGCAAAATGGATGGAATAATAGCACCTACCTCACACAGTTGCTATAAATATTGAGACACCCAACTGCCCATCAGTGGTAGTCTGGGTAAATAAATTGTGATGTCTTTACACAATGGAATACCACACGGCAATGAGAATGAACAAAGGACAGCTACGCACAACACTAAGGATGCATCTTACAAACACAGAAGAGTACACATTGTACGGTTCCACGTATTTAAAACACAAAAACCAGCAAAGCAAATAATCTATAGCGTTCAAAGACACGGCAGACATCCTGTGTTGGACAAGTCACACTGTGAACTGAACTTGTCATCAGCACATGTGAGCTGCTCCCTGAAGACTTACACAAAGCATTAGCTGTGGGGATGACAGCCTGAGAAATATAGCTTACCTTTGCAACTGTGAAAGAATAATGGCATGGCCTAATCATATTGTCTAACATGGTTTAATCACATACCCCATCACTGCTTTCATACATGAAGATGGAAAGAGATTCCTGCAACAATTATCCAGTCAGTCCAGCCAAAAACCTAGCTCCTGAGGGGAAAGACTAGGATTGAAACAAAACAGGATTAACCCAACAGGCTGGCTTCAATCTTCATTGGTCATGCATTAAAATTATCATGCAACTCTTTATTTTGCTGCATTTTGTTGACAACACGTACTGGTACAGAGTGATTGTAAAAGAATTCAAAAAAGCTATGCAGGCTACATGTCACGTCTCTATTTTTCTCTAGTATGGAGTAAATGCAGGATATTTCATCTGAGGCCAGGTGTGGTGGCACGCTTCTGTAATCCAAGCATTTTGGGAGGCCAAGGTGGGAGGATCGCTTGAAGCCAGGAGTTCAAGACCAGCTTGGGCAACATAGCGAAACCCCCATCTCCACAAAAATTTTAAAAATTAGCCAAGTGTGTGTGGTGGTTTGCACCTGTGGTCCCAACTACTCTGGAGGCTGAGGCCAGAGGATCACTTGAACCTAGGAGGTTGAGGCTGCAGCAAGCCATCATCACACCACTGTATTCCAGCCTGGGTGACAGAGTGAAACCTTGTTTCAAAAAAAAAAAAAAAGATTTTATCTCAATAAGTGGAAGAAACATAAAAGAGCTATTAGTGAGTCTGATCCCCTGACCATGTGTTTAAGCCTTCATGAATCCAATAGAAGACAAATGATTTCCACAACAATTATGCAGGATCATCATTTCTAGGAACCCTGCACGTGAATGCAAATTTAGACCATTGAACTCTGTTTCGTTCTTGTCAGGTGATAGAATAGAGGATGAATATAAGGCATATTCCCTTGCACACACAGAAGGTCCACATTGTTGAACTCATTTTCAAGAAATAGCTGTGGGCCAGGCACGGTGGCTCACGCCTGTAATCCTAACACTTTGGGAGGCTGAGGTGGGCGGATCACCTGAGGTGGGTGGATCACCTGAGGTCAGGAGTTCAAGACCAGCCTGGCGAACATGGTGAAACCCCGTCTCTACTAAAAATACAAAAATTCACTGGGTGAGGTGGTGCACACCTGCAGTCCCAGCTACTCAGGAGGCTGAGGCAGGAGAATTGCTTGAACCCGGGAGAGGGAGATGGTGGTAAGCTGAGATCATGCCACTGCACTCCAGTGCCTAGGGGACAAACCAAGACTCTGTCTCAAAAAAAAAAAAAAGAAAAAAGAAAAAGGAAAAGAAAAAAAGAAAAAAAAGAAAAAGAAAAAGAAAGAAATAGTTGTGAACTCAAGTGGTTCTGGGCCTAGCTTGCATGTGAGAAGCTACACAACTTGGAATACTGTGCACTGCCCTCAGAATTTATGGGGAAAGCACGCGCAGCATCTCCCACTTAAAACCTCCCTTGCTCTCTATCCTCCTTTCCTGGTGGAGAAAAAAGGCTTCCAGCTGCTTCACCTTTACTGGCCTGCTCTGCCTTGGAAGGTCTCAAATCGCCCATGTTTTTCTACATGCTCCTTCTTTTTATTGTGCCGAGTCCCTTCCATCTATCTATGTAGGAAGGGATAAAAGGAAAGCATTGCGGCCACCTGGACCTTATGTGTTCAACATCTCTTTTAATATCTACTGTCAGCAGCATCTTCATTTGATGCAGATGGGTTGAGGATGGGAATTTTCTTTACCATTTCATGATTGTTTTTAGTGAATTTTTTTTTTCTAACCTCTTTCGATGCCATGCTTCATAACTTTTCTCTAACACAAAATATCTGTGTTATTATCCTACATGTGCTTTCCATTTTATGGACTTAATGAACACTCCAATTCAAGAAGGGAGAACAACTCCCATTGATGGAAGGGGTTTTATATAGTGCCAGGAAATCCTCTCGAATTGTAGATTTTTTAAAGTGCCTTGTTTGAATGTTGGTTATTAAATCTGCCAAAAACCAAGGGTCTTCCTGGTTCATCTGGAAAAATCAGCCTCAAGGCTATGCCAACTGCGTTTGTGCCTGCAAGACTGGGGAAGAGAGTGGGATGTTACCCTTTGCTCCTCTGTAGACCTTTGCTGCTCTATAGCCTAGCCGGCATGGCTATACAATGCCTTTGAAATACTAGGGTCTGTATGGGTAAATGTCAGAGATCTCCTTTCCCTGTAAGTCTAATACTTCTTGTGCCATTCTTGTCCTTTTCCCTTCGTATTCTATTTTTTCAATCACT
This sequence comes from Homo sapiens, assembly GCF_000001405.40. Taxonomy (NCBI): domain Eukaryota; kingdom Metazoa; phylum Chordata; class Mammalia; order Primates; family Hominidae; genus Homo; species Homo sapiens. The sequence continues at coordinate 87,682,103 of NC_000010.11, read as the reverse complement.
CAAATTATTCCTCTAAACAAAATAAGTCATCTGGCCCAGAATCATGTCCCTTCTTCAAAAGCCTACTTGTGCTAACCATTTATCTAGCCACGCTTCAAAAATTCTTCATGTCCATTCTTCATAATAGCCCCAAACTGTAAGCAACCCAAATGTCCATCAACCTGTTAATGGATAAAAAATGTGGTATACCCACACAATGGAATCGTATTCAGCCATAAAAAGTATGAAGTACTGATACCTGCAGCAACATGAATGAATCTTAAAACATTATGCTAAGTGAAAGAAGCCAGTCACAAAAGACCACATATTTTATCATTCCATTTATAAGAAACATCCAAAAAAGGAAACTATCAGGAGACAGAAAGTAGACTGGTAGCTTCTCGGAACTTGGAGTAGGAATGGGAATGACTGCGAATGGGCACCAGGGATCTTTTTAGCGTAATGAAAATGTTCTAAAATTAGAGTGTGATCATGGTTGTACAACTCTGTAAATTTTCTAGGAATCTTTAAACTGTACAGTTAAAATGGGTGAATTTTATAGTATATAAATTATTTCTCAATAAAGCTGTTTCTAAGAAAAGTCTTTTCATTCTTTGATGAAAACCTTGACTTAGCCCATTTCACTTTCTCACTTAAAACCTCTTCAAATTCTTGTAGTAGTTCCAAAATGTACAATTTTTGTCTATGACCAAGGCTATACATGACAGTGTATTTTGACTCTAACAGTTATTGTAAACATTTAAAACTCCTCCTGTTTGATAGTCTTTTTATTCTGATGGTGGTAAGCATGGTTTCAAGAACTTCAAAGCCAGGGCTGAGCTGCATTATGCTCATGAATGCTCAAGTTGAGGCTCTAAGAAATACACAGAGAAATAAATGGTGGTATATTCACACGATCCAACGCTATGTACAGCAGGGTTTCTCAACCTTGGCACTATTGATGTCTTGAACCTGAGAATTCTTTGTGTTGGAGGGCTGTCCTGTGGTCCTGTGCATTGTAGGATAATAGCAGCAACACCCGCTTCCCTTACTGTGAGTTGTAACAACTAGAAAAAGATCTCCAGACATTGCTCAATGTCCCTCAAAGGGCAAAATCACCCCCAGTTGAGAAACACATATTTAATTATTCCAGCAGTGGAATACACTATATAGCAGTGAGAATGAACAAATTCCAATTGCACACAAACAATATGAATGACTCTCACAAATACATCTCGGAGCAAAAGAAACCAAACACAAAAGATTGTATAACGTAGAATTCCATTTCTAAAAGCTCAAAAACCGGCAAGATTAGTCAGGATGGTTACCGAGGAGAAGGAGGTAGTGACTGGAAGGCATTTGTGGGATTCAGGTAGTATTCTGTTTCCTAATCTGTGTGCCAGTTATGAAAGTGTGTTCCAGTACACAGATTAGAAAACAGAATACTACCTGAAATACCATCACACAAATTCATTGAGTAGCACACTGAAAATTTATATATTTTTCTGTATGGACTTTATACTTTAAAAGTTTAAAAATATGGGTCATGACTGCTGCAAAAACAGGGAGCATTCAAAGTGACTGAGGAGGGACCCAGCACCTTTCTAACAGGATGCTAATTCATCCCTCTACAGACCCACCATGGCTCCTTCTGGCCCACCCTGAACTGTAAGACAGAAATCCAGTGTATTCCATTGATGAATGAAAGCTTGTTCCTGGGGAACTTTGTTATCCAGGTGCCAAAGCCAAGAAAGCACCCCACACCACCATTTTCAATTCATACTTGCAAAGCACAGACTTAAAATTGACTTCAGTGTGAAACCAACTTAGAGTGAGACCAAATAAAGGAAGGCTCCCTCCAGTGCTAAAGAAAATAGTAACGGGTCTAGTTCCCAAATCTGAGAGTAAGTCCCTCTTTAGTGCCCAAAGTGACAACTGGACAACTTGTTTGTTACAGAAGCAGAAGATGAGTTGTGCTAATTTGTTTGGGTTCTCGCTCTTGGTTGGAAATCCTCCTGATCAATAACTTGTCCTTGCAGACAGTGGACCATTACAACAGTGGAGACTGTGATGAGAGTGACTTTTTTTTTTTTTTTTTGAGATAGGTTCTCACTGTTGCTCAGGCTGGAGCGCAGTGGCACGATCATGGTGGCTCACTGCAGCCTTGACCTTCGAGTCTCAAGCGATACTCCCACCTCAGCCTCCCAAGTACCTGGGACTACAGGCACGCACCACCATACCTGGCTAATTTTTGTATTTTTTGTAGAGATGGGGTTTTGTCATGTTGCCCAGGCTGGTCTCGAACCCCTGGACTCAAGCAATCTACCTGTCTCAGCCTCCTGAAGTGCCGGGATTACAGACATGAGCCACTGTGTCAGACCTGCTGATTTTTAAAAATATTGATTTATAGGAGTTCTATATATTTTGGAAAACAGTCCTATGTCTCCTATGAGTTACAAATTATCCCCTAGGTTTTCGCTTGTCTTTTGACTTTTGTTTTAACACACATAAAAAAAATTGGCATGTAATTTTTAAAATATTTGGCTTTTTATTGATATATTATATTTTACATACTTACAGGGTGCATGTGGTAGTTTGTTACATGCATAGAATGTGTAATGATTAAGTCAGGGTATTTGAAGAGTCTATCACTTTGTGCATTTATTATTTTTATGTGTTGAGAACAATTCCAGTCCTCACTTCCAGCTACTTTGAAATATACAATACATTGTTGCTAACTATAGTCACTCTGCTCTGCTGTAGAACGATAGAACTTATTATAACTTTTATCTAATTGTATCTGTACCTGTTAACCTATCTTTGTTCATCTCCCCACCCTAACCAATTTTCCCGGCCTCTAGTATGTATCATTCTACTCTCTACCTTGATGATATCAAGTTTTCTAGCTTCTGCATATGAGTGAAAACACGCAATGTTTGTCCTTCTGTGCCTGGATTATATCATTTAATATAATGATCTCCAGTTGCATCCATGTTGCTGCAAATGACATGATTTCATTCTTTTTTATGGCTGAATAGTATTCCATTGTAAACATATACCACATTTTCTTTATCCATTTGCCTGTTGATGGACACCTGGGTTTATTCCATGTCTTTCCTATTATGAATAGTGCTACAATAAACATGTAAATGTAGGTATCTCTTTGATATACTGATTGCTTTTCCTTTGAATAGATACCCGTAGTGGAACTGATGGACTGTATCATAGTTCTGTTTTTAGTTTTTTGAGAAATCTCCATTTGTTTTCCACAGTGGCTTTACTAATTTACATTCCCACCAACAGTGTATGAATTCCCTTTTTTCCACATCCTCACCAGTATTACTTTTTTTTTGTCTTTTTACATATTAGCCCTTCTACATGAGGTGAGGTAATATCTCATGGTTTTGATTTGAATTTTCCTGACAATTAGTGATGTGGAGCATTTTTTCACATATCTGTTGGCCATTTACATGTCTTCTTTTGAGAATTGTCTATTCATGTCCTTTGCCCACTTTTTAATGGAATTTTTTTTTTACGCTGCTGGGTTTCTGATATAGTCTGGATATTAGTCCCTTGTCAGAAGATAGTATGCAATATTTTCTCTCATTCAACAGGTTGCCTCTTCATGCTGTTGATTGTTTCCTTTGTTGTGCAGAAGCTTTTTAGTTTAATATAGTTCAATTTGTCTATTTTCGTTTTAGGTGTCTATGCTTTTAAGGTCTTAACCATAAAATATTTGCCTAGACCAATATCTTGAAGTGTTTTCCCTGTGTTTTCTTCTAGTAGTTTTAAAGTTTGGGGTCTTATATTCACATCTTTAATCCATCTTCGGTTGATTTTTGTATATGGTGAGAGACAGGGGTCCAGTTTCAATCTTCTGTGTATGGATCGTCAATTTTCCCAGCACCATTTATTGAAGAGGGTATCCTTTCCCCAGTGTATAGTCTTGGCGCCTTTGTAGAAAATCAGTTGGCTATAAAGATGCAGATTTATTTCTGGGAAAAAAAAGTTTTTATATTCAAAAAAATTTATAGTATCTGAATGTGTATTATACTTAGAAGTGGTCTTCCCCATTCTGTGATTATATAAGATTCATGTTTTTTTCTTGTAGGTCTATGGGTTTCTCAATGCTTAAATCTTTGCTCCATCAAACCTTTTCTTTATAAAATAAATTCTTAAAATGCTTATCTTTATTTACAAGGCTAAGCATATCTTTTTTAAAAAGATTATATTCTCAAATCTGTGATCACAATTTTTAAAAATCTCCATTCTCTGGCAGGTACTGACCTATGATCATAGTTAGAGAGTGGTTCAAAGTACATTCCACACGCATGCATGTAATATAAATCTTACATAGTGGATGCTGTCATTATATAAAGAGATAGTGGGTAGCTTTCCAGTTATAACTTGATAAAGAGTTTTTACTGGACAACATTTTGAAATCATACTGCCTATGAAAATGAAGATCTGGGAAAAGCACACAAAGCTTCTTAGAGGGAGGTGATTGTCTTAATTCTCCATGTTTCTCCTGCACGGAGCTGGTTACAGGGCTTGCTGTAGAATTGACTCCTCTTTCATGTCCACTCTGGTTACTAGATGTCAAGCAATTTGATTTCTGTCATTTTTGATCCAAAAGTATCCTGAAATTTATTTTCCATTCTGATAGTTGCATAGGAGAATTAGAGGAAAAGGACAAATTGTAATTGCTTTTTAGATTCAATACATAGGGGCATATATTTTTCAAAATATTTGCAGTCAAATTCACTTCAAAATAATATAGAAGGAAGAAGAAAGTAAAACAAAGTTGCCATCTTTAAAAAAACACAACTGTAAATCAGAAAAAAAGAATTGCCATTGGCTTGAGTCATCCAATCTTTTAAAGCTTAGATATCTGCATTAAATATCTGTCTTTTCATTTTATCTTATTTTTTGAGATGGAGTCTCGCTCTGTTGCCCAGGCTGGAGTGTAGTGGCGTGATCTCAGCTCACTGCAGCCTCTGCCTCCCGGGTTCAAGCAATTTTCCTGCCTCAATCTCTGGAGTAGCTGGGATTACAGGAGTGTGCTGCCATGCCCGGCTAATTTTTTTATTTTTAGTAGAGATGGGGTTTCATCATGTTGTCCAAGTTGGTCTCGAACTCCTGACCTCAAGTGATCTGCCTGCCTCGGCCTCCCAAAGTGCTGGGATTATAGGCATGAGCCACTGCATCCGGCCTTTTTTTTTTTTTTTTTTTTTTTTTTTTTTTTTTTTTTTGAGACAGGGTCTCATTCTGTCATCCAGACTGGAGTACAATGGCACAATCTGGGCTTACTGCAGGCCTGGAACCGCTGGGCTCAAGTGATCCTCCCACCTCAGCCTGCCAAGTAGCTGTGTCTACAGGCATGTGCCATCACACCTGGCTTGGCTTTTCTTTTATTTATTGCATTGAAGATGAATAATCTCTGTAAAGATAAGTGCTATATAACGCAACATATTAATTTTTAAACCTAATGAGATAAAGTTGATCAAAATTCATGATCAGATAAACGAAGTCAGGCAATCTATTAGCTTGTGTTGAAAAGGTACAAAGCTAATTAGTTAATTTGATCCATTCTAAGTTTTAGGTGATAATTATGAAACATTTAAGTGGGCAGGATTTCTGCCCTTGAGGTACTTACATATTTCTCCCAGAAATGCTAGAATTACACTGAAAACTCACAAAGGAAAGACAGGTCCGTTTTTGGAGGGTTCTTCCAATGTGGGTCCCTAATACTCATGTCTATCAAATGTGACAAGGAAATTATTTTAGATTTAGTCCTACTGGAACATACAAAGTTCAACAGTGAGATCTGGAGACTTACACTCTAGAGAATTACAAGCTACTTTCTTAAGCCACTTCCTTAATTGTGATATGGGAATCGGGCAAATTTCCAAAGATAAAGTCACCACCGTCAAGAACAGCTCACTAAGAAAGAATGGTCTTCAGGTTTTTCCAGAAAGCTGTCTTCCCATTAGGTAACGGTAAAACAGGACAAGGATAGTAAGCTTTTAAACGTTCCAGCTACATTCCTCATGGAATATTTAATTTTAAATATTCCATGAGGAATGTAGTGACCACAGAAGACTGCACTGGCTGGGAAATGGCTTTACATTAAAAAAAAAAAAAAAAAAAAAAGAAATGTGGAAAGGGAAAATAGCTTTCTGAAGTAGAGAAAACTCATCTGAGCCGGTGGCCCTCAGGCATGTTACAATGCTTTCATTTGCATGGGGAAGGAATTAGGCTAGGCTGAGGTTCTCAAGCCTGGCTGAACCAAGAAACCTTGTAGCCAGTTTTTGAAGACTGCCTCCATTCCCCAACACAGATCCATTCAATCATATTCACTAGGAGTGAGGTCCAGGCATCAATATTTTGTGAAGCTTAGCAGGGTGGAGAAAAACTGGACTACGTAATCTCTAAGGTGGCTCTCAGATCTCACTAAATTAGGAGATGCATTCAGAATAGCAGCGTAATGAATGGAACACAGGGAAGCATAAAACCCATGCAGGTATAAGTAAATCCTAACCAGGGACTTACAACGCAACCTATTAGCATGAAATTACATTCTCAGATGAAACTTGGCCCCCCTATACATGAATAATAAATGTGCTTGACTTACAGCAACAAAACCACTCAAGACACAGAAGAATACAAAAGGGATTATGTCATTAACTTATTATAATATTTGTAATTTTTATCCAATTCCAAACTTACAAAATACACACATACCAAGTTTTGAAAATTCAAATATGCGAATCTTTTTAATGCAAACTACAATTCAAAGAGGGTGAAGAGGTAGATTTTCAATTTTTCACTGACAAATATCTAGTTGATATGGTATAAACCAAGAGAATGATTTCATAACTACATACACATTCCTTGTTTTATAGAAGAAAGAGGTAATACTAAATGATAACAGCCAGTGCTAATGCTATGACTAAGAGGGTGTTGTAAGTCATTACTAGAAAAGATTCATTTGAATAGTGTTTTAAAAAGACAAAATAAAGGCCGTCCCTCTTAGGGCCTGCTATTTTGAATTTTAGCCAACAGGGCATAAGATCTTAAACTGCAGTTCCTAGATATGGGTCTTGTAAGAGGAGTCTGTAACTCCTTGAAACCATATGTAAAAATTGTGTATCTGTGTCTGTGTGTGCATACATGCATGTGGGCACACCCATGCATGGAGGTTTCTTACCCTTTTTGGAGTCAAAAACCCCTATGGTCGCCTATGGATCCCCTCTCAGAAAAGTGTTTTTAAATGCATAAAACACAAAGGATTGCCAATAAAAGAAAAAGAATTACGGTAACAAAATGCTTTTTAAAAATTATAGCACGGTAATAAATATGCTTCTTTAGCAATGTATTAAATAACAAGAACTATCTGTCTAGGTAGACAGTTATAATCTTAATTTTGAAGTATTTTTATAACTCTTTTATAGATCTTTTTATAGATCTTAATTTTCTAGTTATAAAAAGCACAGATATTTTGCAATATCTGCAACGATATAATCTGATATTAAAGTATCTGTGGTTTCTACTGGTGACATAGTCACAAGTATTGCTAATATTGCTGTGGTTTGTTGCCTGTCTTCATAATTGAAGAAAATGCCAAATTTCTGTTACAAGTTATAAAAAAAAAATTACTGCTGGGAGCAGTGGCTCATATCTGTAATCCCAGCACTTTGGGAGGCCTAGGCAGGAGGATCACCTGAGGCCAGGAGTTCAAGACCAGCCTGGCCAACATGGTGAAAACCCATCTCTACCAAAAATATAAAAAATTAGCCGGGTGTGGTGGCACGTGCCTGTAATCCCAGCTACTCAGAGAGCTGAGGCAGGAGAATCGCTTGGACACAGGAGGTGGAGGTTGCAGTGAGCCGAGATCGTGCCACTGCACTCCAGCCTGGGAGACAGAGCAAGACTTCATCTCAAAACAGAAATTTTTTTTACCCATCCAAGTTCACAACCTTCCTGACTTCTGGGGACTCTAGATACTAAAGAACCTCTGCTCTGTCTTTATCAGTCTTGAAGGGGTTGATTTGTAAGCTTGCAGGAAGGGTAGAACATTAGACCACAAAGCACTCAATGAGCACTTCATGGACTGGCTCTAGGCCCTGCAGGCATAGAGCCCTGGACAGTCCCAAGATAACATGCAGAAGGAAAAGGGCTCTCTGAGGTAGAATGGTAAAGGAGAGCTCTGGGACCTTCTAGAACAAAAATTCAGATATGTCTTACTATTAATTTTATATTTTAATGTTCTGTAGAGTTCCTAAAAGTATTCAGTGACTTAGAAGATTCATAAAGCATAGCAAAAACTCATGAATCAGAAGTGGACAAGAAAAAGGAAAGAACAACCCAGGGGCATAAAACGAAGTGGTACCAAGCATAAAGCTGGTGCAAAAAAAAAAAAAAAAAAAAAAAAAGTAAGCCAAAAATTCACTTCTGAGCTTTCTGGCAGGCATCTTGAGGGGGAAAACCTGGATGGTCCCAAAATTCGCAAAGGAATTAGACACACACACACACACACACACACATGAATACATACACACACAAACACACACACAGCTAAGAAAAATATAACCCTTCTGGTAGTAAAACTAGACAGAAATGTCTCTCTATGAATTTTTATAAAGAGAATATGAAGAAAATCCCAGGCTGGCACAGTGGCTCACACCTGCAATCCCCAGCACTTTAGGAGGGCAAGGTGGGAGGATCGCTTGAGGCCAGGAGTACAAGACCAGCCTGGGCAACATAGGGAGACCCATCTCTACAAAAACAAAAACAAAGAAAATTCCAGAGATATTTATAAAGGGAATGTTCTAATTAATAAATAATCTGAATAATATCATTACAGTAGACACACTAGTGTTCCACAGAACTTTAAAAAAATAATGTTTTAACAAAACAATGACAATACAACAAACACAATTCAATGGGGCTCATGAAGTACAGCTAGTACTCAGCTCTCTGAATTCAGACACATAGAGTTACACGCTGACAGGCCATGGGCCTAAGCATCTTCCAACTGAACACTGGCCCCCACTATATATAACAGGAGGTGGCAAATTTTTCTTAAAGGATCAGACAGTACACATTCTCAGCCTTTCAGGCCACACAGAAATACCCATCCTTGCTGTAAAAGAAGCCACAATGTGTAAACGAATAAGCATGGTACGTTTCGAAAGCTTTATTTATAGACACTAAAATTTTAATTTCATATACTTGTCATAACACAAAATATAATTTTTCCTTTCACTTCTCCCCATCAGTCTTTTAAAAAAATGTAAAAACCATTCCTAGCTTATAGGCCTACCAAAACAGGCAGGTGACTGTGGTTTGGCCCACAGGATATGATTTGCTAACCCCTGGTCTACGGGACCAAATTTCCCCCAAGATATCTCATTGTCACTGTACCTTTCTCTTTCCTCAAGCCTTGGTCTATAACAACTTTTTTTTTAAGTAGTCACTGCTTCTACATTTGATCTGCAATTATACACAAAGGCAATCAGGATGACATGTAGGCAGACATGGCTTCAGAATTTCTATGTTTAATGGATATAAAAAGGTAATCCAGGATGAACTAACAGGAAAGAAATGGTGTAGTTCCCATTGTCCTCATTAAAATAAACACACACAAAAAGGGTAGAAAACCTTGAATGTACAACTTCCTCTACTCCAAGGATCACATATTAGTTTTTTAGAAGCATCCAAAAATATGTGTAATTAGCTAAATCACTTAGTTCACGTTACATCATTTATATCACTAGTTCTCCCAATGAAAATGAAGCCATATAATGTTTCACAGCACACAGTTAACTTGGTGCAGTCCAAATAAGAAACCCTTCATACCAAATATCATCCCAATATCCCTGAGCCTCTGTCTGTTCTCAGACAAAACATGGGACTTGGCCACCAAACTTGGCAAACTCAAGTGGTCTCTACTGTTACATGGCCCCACAAGAAGACTGCAGGGAATTTACCTCATTTCTTTATGTTAGTGGCCTAATCTATGATTTGTAATACTTGTAACTACCTAATATGTAGAGCTACTAGGATAATTGATAACAAAGTATGAATAAGTCTTGATGAGCATGATGAAAGAAAGGTATTATGCATGCCCAGAGGAACTCCGCTATAATACAGGGAGGTAGCAATTACCCTTATGGCAATACCACGTGCATAAAATTGAGTCTCCTGAAATGTGTAACTTCAATCAGAAGATGCTCAAAGCCACACAATTACAGTGTTCAACCCAGGTCTCAGCTGCCCCTCCTAACACTAGCCCTGTTGGTGTTCCACTGTAGGCTGTACTTTGCTACCTATCTGTATTTTCTTTATATTTTTTTCTCAATTGGTTCTGGTTATTAGGCTGTGTATATAAAACAATCTCCCTGAACCACGAAATATTAACATTCTGTGCTGAGCAATGGAAATGCTGATGAAACCTCTAGTACATCCAGAGAACAGGCCCATAGCCTGTGGGGCTTTGGGAACTTGTAACTCATGAATGCTCGACTGTGCAGCACTCACATAATGGACAAGGCTGGGTGTAGAGTTATGTGTAAGTCACTGCAATTATTTCTAAAATCACTTATTCTTGAGTGTATGCATTCACCCACTAGAACACTGAAGCCTTGTATTCTTAAGGTGAAATGTTGGGTTCAATTCCAAAGACTACTGTTCCTAAAACTGGCCACAGAGCCTCATCCAAACTAACATTTATTGCCTTTTAACAGCATTTGCTAAAATCTACATCTTCTAAAGATTACACAACATTACAAAAAGCCCCTAAGGAAATCCCTTTCAAAGCGCCTGCATCATCCTTTTAGTCTGCAAAGACAAAATTAAAATGCATGTTTAAATAATCAAAAGATCCTTTTGCATTCTCACAGTCATAGTATCCATTATATGTTATTTTAACTGAAGAAAAAAAAAAGAATGATTGAAAACATGGCACTTGTGTTCCAGCTCTGCCACTTAGGGTTATGCATCCTGAGGCAAGTTACTTAGTCTCTACAAGCTCAGAGTTCCCTACTGTAAAGCAGGGATAAGAACTACTTCATAGGTTATTGTGAGGATGAGATGGGATACTGTATGGATAGTCCCTGGATAAATGCTTGTTCCCTTCTTCTATTTGGGGAACCCTGTTGGGTACACAAGGTGCCTTCCTGAATCCCAAGGGATGTTATTATGACAACAAGGATTAATAACACAGTGTGATGTGTAAGAGACTTTTTGAGTCACAGCCTCAACACTGAGAAGAAAATGGAAGAAACTGGGTATTTTTGATGACCCAGATTTTTCCATTCCCTAAATGTGACTAACTGTGCAGAGACAACACATCCTTTAGACAGAATTTTGTATCCCACTGTGAAGACACAAATTCTGTGATTCAACTTCTATGCAGTCACCATGATTCTTTTTATTTAAATAATGCAGCTCCTCTCCAGTAAAAGACTTCAATTTCATCCCCTGAAATACACCCAGCCAATGCTGCTCTCCTCAGCATGAGTGTGTGTGTGTGTGTGTGTGTGTGCTCCATCTTTTTATGCAATCATCTCCTGAGAATGGGAATATGAACCTTCCTAGTACCTATCGCTGAAACACTAGCCCAGGATTGCTGAAAAACTTGGACTTCCCTTACCTATGTGTTAGAAGGAGACAACGCTCCCTAATTTTTCTTCCAAACACCAAGGAACATACCTTTTACAATCCCATGATTTCTAGGCACTCCTCATTGATCGGTTGACAACATCCTTAAGCGTCGACCTTGAACTGGGTCAAATTTTTATGTGAAAAATGCACTGGTGTTCTACTTTCTTTTTTATTATCTACAAATCATATTAATATTACAACTTGGTTCAAGTATTGCAGCTAGTGGAAACAAATTATTCTGTTCACGTTTGCTGAATACTGACATAGCCGTAAGGCTAGGCAATAAAAACTATTACCCATACAGGTTGAGTCTGAGAACAAATAAAATTTATTTTCCAATTATTCACCTTATGTTACCATAAAGAAAGAAATGCGTGTGATAGTGAGGGTAACATGTATTTGCCAATTTATGCCACTTACTCTTTTTTAATAAAAGTGCTGGGGAATGCTTCTCAATAGAATTCATTATTATTATCTTGAGATACTAGCAGTAGACAGCTGCCAGAATATTTTACAAATGAAGCAGTAATACATTACTAGTTACCTAATCTAGCTGTGTTGGCTACATGGCATGAAGTGTCATTGCCTCTATGAAATAAACATCTTATTAACTACAGAGAAGCTAATAAGATTCTAACTTCTCCTTTGGGTAACTCTTTAAAGACCCATTTCAGTTAAATGAGTTCCCTTTGGACTATTTATTCACAAACTTGCTTCGCGAGATGGTGAAGAGTCAATGAGTTAACCTACAGGTCAGTGCTCAATAAATCGTGGCAATGAACAGAATACAACAGAGTAGGAATTTTCTAACAACACATGCTCTAAAAAAAGAAACTTCAGATAAATAACGCACATTCCACAATCGGAATTTTAATGTCTAGGCTTTATTTGATGTCTTCTTATTCTGTTGGCTAACTTAAAGGTCAAATGAAAAATTATTTTAGTTATGATTTGGTTATTTTTTAGTAACTACTCAAAACATTGTTGTACTAGTGACCCAATGGCCCAAGAGCCATAATTACTCATATACTTTAGGAAAACACTCTCTATTGGGAGTCAGCAATTTAGGTCCTGGGAAGACCACACATGGTTACTGTAATCGACTTCATAGTACTTTGCGAACTGAGGAAGCAATGGAAATGGATAGATTTAGAGGTAAAACTGAACTGAGGCTTTGGCGTATAACTGAACTTGGTCCAGCCTTTACCAAATACAACTTTTTCTGCATTGCATGCTATCTAATCAATGGCATCCCTTTTTTTAATAAAACAATTAAACCACTTGAGAAGGTTTAAGGAAGACTGAGTGAGGTGGGAAAGGGTTGAATTTTCTAAAGAGAAACAGTCCGGCCAATCAAAAATATTTCAAAACGGTCAAGTTACATCTTTCAAATACTGCTTTTTGGTCTGTATTTTCTGTCCCCAGAATGCCACAACAAAATGCTAAAGCTAAGTCAGAATGTAATAAACCAACTGGGAGGAAGTTTTGTTTATGGAAAATATTTCTTGTTGAATGAAAGAGGAAATAAAGCTGTAGAAAATAGGCAGGGTCACTTTCAAAGAGCACGTGATAAAGAGAGAAGTGGTAAGCGTGTGGTAGGGTGATCAGAGTTCTAGCTTAGTGGAAGTATCCCCACCCAGTCAAGCCAAAGAATGGCCATAGATCCTGGCACAGCTCTTAACGCTGTATATCAACTGTCATATAAAGAGCTTAAAGGTGACCTCCTAATTTTCCTTCCAGAAGTAAAATACTAGAATTATTTTTAAACACACACACACACACACACACACACACACACATTTTTAAAGTAGAGACAGCCTTAATATAGAGTAAATAATGTTCAACTTAGTAGAAAAATGAATGAGGAAATGTAAGAAAAGTCAATTGGGAATTTTATTGCTTTTAGCTCAAGGCCACTGCAAGACTTACTGGGCAGAACGTTGATAATATAAAGGTGCGGGTGGAGTGCTTCAATTAGAAAAGGCAAATGCTGTGTTTAGAATAGACTTAAAGACAGTGAATAGACTAAAAACTATAATTAAAGAATATAAGGCTTTGGTAGCTATTGTTAATTATGACAAATAGAGATCCTGGTTTGGTCATTCAATAAATATTGTTGAGTGAGTGAGGTAAACAAATATATACGTGAGGATTTTGACAGGAACTGAAAAAGGAAAGGATTTTAGAGAGCTTAAGGAAACAAAGTAATACACATGGGACCCCCAGCAGAGGGCCAAAAAGTTAATTCAGGTTTTTAACACTAGCAAATGTATGAAAATAAAATCATCACTAATGCTTGAGTTGCTTACTTTGCTGGAAATTGGGAAGGCATGAATTATTCATAAATTAATAATGACTGGAGGAGGGTGTAGAAGAATAAAGTTTATAGGGATAGAATCTCGGATTTTCTTCCAGGTAGTTTAAATCCATAAAGTCTACAAATGTCTTTAAAAGCACACACCCAACATAAAATTGTTTTAAAAAAGTAATTGTGGTATGAGACTGGATATAGATGCTTGGTGGATAAAAATCAATACTTTTCATAATAAATCAATAATAAAACATAAAGCAGGTGTTAACTAGACATTTAAACCAAATATTGACTAGCAGAGAAATTATCACTATGAATGATGCAGCATTTGACATAATATATTTATGTAACTGTTTTAAAAAATCTTTATTGTCACAGGCTATATGCATTTATTGCCAAAAGTTAATATTTGATGGTATACAGATTGAGTTTGTCATGTTTATATTACAGTCGTGCTTGCACAATATCAATTACAGCAAAATCAACTTCAGTAGTAAATTTGAAATGCAGAAAGGGATGCTGATAAGATTTTAAAGGAAGTCACATCAGTCAACTGATGGAATCCATTTTATACACCACGTGTCATCAGAGGCAACTTATATTTCAAGTTTTAATACAGTGGCTCTTTTGTACAGAGAAAAAATATTTTCATCTTGTGCACCAATTTATTGTTTGTTTGTTTTGTTGAGGTTTTTTGAGACAGGGTCTCACTCTGTCACCCAGGCTGGAGTGTAATGGCATGATCATGGCTGACTGCAGCCTTGACCTCCAGTACTGGGGCGATCCCACCTCAGCCTCCTAGATAGCTGGGACTACAGGCCCGCGCCACCACACTTGGCTAATTTTTTGCATTTTTGTAGAGACAAGGTTTTGCCATGTTGCCCAGGCTGGTCTCAAACTCCTGCGCTCAAGTGATCCGCCCACCTCAGCCTCTCAAAGTGCTGGGATTACAGGCATGAGCCACCACACCCAGCCAATTTATTGTAAATTTTTCAAAAATGTGGTGATCAAAAAGACAGGAAAAAGGAACAAGAAGACAAAATTTATAACAAATTCAATGCTTATGATAAACCAATTAACCTTTTGGGAAAGCTTTAATCTTTATTAAAAGAGAAGCAAAGCAAGCTTGGGTACCAGTCTGAGTCTGAAACAGGGAGTAGTGTCCTGCCCCTGGTGCTGAGCTTGGGGAAGAGGGAGGCCAAATAGCCCTGGGGGCTCTGAAAGCAGAG
Source organism: Homo sapiens (assembly GCF_000001405.40). Taxonomy (NCBI): domain Eukaryota; kingdom Metazoa; phylum Chordata; class Mammalia; order Primates; family Hominidae; genus Homo; species Homo sapiens. Next base: position 87,666,917 of record NC_000010.11, on the reverse strand, counting down.
GGCATTGGATGTGCTTCTGATCTCAGAGGAAAAGAGGGTGGGTTTCAGCAGCCCCCAGAGCTCCTCCAAGTCCCTGCATGGTCACAGCAAAGTAGGAACCTAGTTCCTACACTCCTGGGAGTAGTGGGGACATGTCAAGGACCTTAACTAGTCCCACCAAATTCATACCCCACGACCTCAGAGTTGTGCTGGAGCAACAAAACGGCCTCAGGGTACCCAGGAGAGCATGAAAGAAGTAAGGAGAGTTGTTTAAATTGAAGGGGCCTTTCAGACAAGAACGCACTTGAAATTGGACCAACACTAAGGATTGGACAGGACAATGCACATCTCTAAGGATGTCTGCATAGGAAGAGACCACCAAGACAAGGTGAGCACTCCCCACTCCACACTGTAGCACATCCTAGGGAAAAAGGATTAAATCAAAGATTTTTGACTAGCTATCTGACTAGAGTTCATGTTTAAAAAGTACTCCTTTTATGACAGCGACACAGGTCTGGTAAGGTATGATAGGAGATGTTAATGATTCACAGGAATCTAGAAAGGGTAGAGGTCTCTGTTTCCAGCAGTGATGGGTAGGTTATTCAGATTGATGCTTCCACTGAAAATAACTATAAATGCTAGTAATAACATAAAATAATCAAATTTAAAACAACAGGATGAGCATGGTGGCTCATGCCTGTAATCCCAGCACTCTGGGAGGCCAAGGCAGACAGATCACTTGAGGTCAGGAGTTCAAGACCAGTCTGGCCAACATGGTGAAAACCCGTCTCAACTAAAAATACAAAAATTAGCCGGGTGTGGTGGTGCACACCTGTAACCCCAGCTACTAGGGAGGCCGAGGCGTGAGAATCGCTTGAACTTGGGAGGTGGAGGTTGCAATGAGCCAAGATCACGCCAACAGCACTTGAGCCTGGGTGACAGAGCAAGACTCCATCTAAAAAAAAAAAAAGAAAAAAAAATTAAAACAACAAATAGCTGACAAAATAGGAAGAAACTACTAGGCCAAAATCTGGAAGAAAGCAAGAACTCAAAGAGATAAGTAAGCAGAGAGGCACTTTTATCCTTATGGGGCATATTTGCTGAGAGGAGCATACATGAACTGATTTTGACAGCTTCACTGAGAGAGGTGGAACAGAAATTAAAGCCCAGAACCCACTCAAGTGAAAATAAAAAAAGGTCTTCCTCAAGTTAAGCTGGGCTCCTAAACCCTACACTCTAAAAATAAGGGTGAACCAGAATAAACCTACCTCCCACTCAGAGAGACGGCAAGGACAATTGTCTTGGCATAGAAAGTGAGTATAAAAGGGGAGGGTGGTCCCTGGGAAGTTGTATTCACAAGCTGGCTCTCATGTGCAAAATAGCAATCCAAATTCACATCACCTAAGTCTTTAAAAAGTGGTAAATTCAGGCCGGGCACGGTGGCTCACGCCTGTAATCCCAGCACTTTGGGAGGCCGAGGCGGGCAGATCACGAGGTCAGGAGATCAAAACCATCCTGGTTAACGCGGTGAAACCCCGTCTCTACTAAAAATACAAAAAGTTAGCCGGGCGTGGTGGCAGGCACCTGTAGTTCCAGCTACTCGGGAGGCTGAGGCAGAAGAATGGCGTGAACCCGGAAGGCGGAACTTGCAGTGAGCTGAGATCACGCCACTGCACTCCAGCCTGGGTGACAGTGCGAGACTCTGTCTCCAAAAAAAAAAAAAGTGGTAAATTCAATTAAAGGAGTCCTAGGCTAGGAGTGGGGCCAGACACCTGGCAGAAACAAAAGCAAATCCTCTCTGAAAACAAAGTCATTCATCCTAGGCCTGAAGGAATCTCTACAAGCAATTTTTCAGCAGTAATGACAAATACCCAGTCAAAAATAACCAAGCACACAAAGAGAAGAGGGGAGAGTGAGGAATCTAGGAAAAAATGTGGATCCTAAGAGCAAATACATCCTCTAATGAATTCTCTAGCCATTTACTCATTCATTTATTCAATGAATATTGAACACCTAATCTGTGCCAGGATCACTGTCAGGTGCTGGGCATATAAGCTGTTCCAAGTGTCATATGAACAAATCACCTAGGGGCTAATAGAACAGTTGAACTAGTGTTATATTTATGTTTATTTACCTTTAGTTTCTGCATTTTCCTAAGACTTCCAAACACAAAGACTAATGAGTGCCCATTACTATTTAGTGATAGATTTTGAAATAAACAGAAATCTCCTAGGACTGAGATTGACATCATTGATGCCTTTCCCAGACTCTAATTCCCTAAAAGTTCCATGTTAGAGGTAAGCCTAATTATCCCCTCAGCAAACCACAGAGCCACATGCATCAACAGAAAAGTGATAAAAGACAAAGATAACTATCTCAAAGAGACATATAACTGAGTTAACCACATTTATCTTTTAACCGCACCAAAGTCCAAACAGATGATCTAATAAATGGCGATGGCATGAATTGGGAAACACTAATTTTAAGGTGCACATAGGAATAGTTGAAGGCACAGGAAGGGTGGAGAGAAGTTAGTCCAATATTTACTCTATGCATGGATTATCTTTCTTGGCCAAAGTTGTTGGCAAAAACTCACTGATACTCTGGTACCTCTACCAGAGGTCAACCAGTGTCTTCTATCCAGCCTATCACAATAAGAATTCAAATTGTCACCTCTATATTTCTGCATTTGTTTTTCCTTATTAAATATTCTGGCTGGCCAAGCACAGTGGCTCAAGCCTGCAATCCTAATACTTCGGGAGGCCAAGGCAGGAGGATCTCTTCAGCTCAGGAGTTCAAGACTGGCCAGAGCAACAGAGTGAGACCTCATCTCTACCAAAACAACAACAACAAAAACTTTAAAAGTTAGCCAGGCATGATGGTGTGCACCTGTAGTACTAGGTACTTGGGAGGCTGAGGCAGGAGGATCACTTGAGCCCAGGAGGTCGAGACTGCAGTGACCCATTATAGCAGCACTGCACTCCAGCCTGTCTCAAAACAAAACAAAAATATTCTGGCTGTTGTCATTTACTGAGTCTTCAAAACAGTATGATGTGTGCTGTTTTTTCTTTTTATGTATGCCAAACCATGACAGTATAGTTTAATACAAATGAAATAGCTACTGCATATGAAGCACTAACTCTGGGTCTGGCACTGAGCAAGACAATTTTTAGGAGTTACTTACTTTTCACGACAATTGTAAGGGGAAAGTTATTATTACCCACATTTTACAGATGAGAAAACTTTGGGCCAGAGCAGTTACATCCTGAAACAGAAGTACGGAGGGGGTCAAGAGCATGAGTTTTGAAGCTGGACAGACCTGAATTTCAGTAGTGCCCTGCCCCTGGTATTTCTCCTCCCCTGAAGACAAAGCTGTTTCCTGAGATGAGAGCTACTGTGGGGATGAGATGTCTGAGTGTCTGGCCTCTAGGAAATGCTTTTTGTCCCTCCTTCCAGTAGTTGCTCATCTAGAATTCATGTCTTGCCTTCGGTAGTGTCTTTATATAGTTTTAAAAGTAATTACTTCTGGCTGGGGGCAGTGGCTCAAGCCTGCAATCCCAGCACTTTGGAAGGTCAAGGTGGGTGAATCACCTGAGGTCAGGAGTTCGAGACCAGCCTGACCAACGTGGCAAAACCCCGTCTCTACTAAAAATACAAAAATTAGCTGGGCGTGGTGGTACACACCAGTAGTGCCAGCTACTCGGGAGGCTGAGGCAGGAGAATTGCTTGAACTCGGGAGGCGGAGGTTGCAGTGAGACGAGATCGCTTCTCTGCACTCCAGCCTGGGTGACAGAGCGAGACTCCATCTCAAAAAAAAAAAAAAAAAAAAAAAGTGGCTACTTCTAGAAAAATAATGTTATACTGTGCACAATTCTGAAAATAAGGAAAAGGTAATTAGCAGGGCATGATGGTGGTGCCTGTAATCCCAGCTACTTGGGAGGCTGGGGCAAGAGAATGGCTTGAACCCGGGAGGCGGAGGTTGCAGTGAGCTGAGATCATGCCACGCTACTGCACTCCAGCCTGGGTGACAGAGTGAGACTCTGTCTCAAAAAAAAAAAGAAAGAAAGAAAATAAATAAGGAAAAGGTTGATAATCCCTTACATCTATGGAGAGCGCTGTGGTTTTCAGTATCTTTTCACTCCTTTCCAATTGTTTTCCTATTTGATCCTTCGGAAATAACTTAATATCTCAGTCAATGTTTTCAGATTGGGTGTCTCCAGAACATAACAGCACTGTCTGTGGGCCTTGAAAAATGTTAATCCAGGAAATGATGTAAGAGGAAAGGCCCAGGCCTTTGCCTTCCCTTCTTTCCAGTCCCCTAGAGGCAGTCTGTCCCTTTCCCTCTCCTAGGTGTCTATGTGTGTGTATAGGGGGTGGGGGTGGGAGGGTAGCCAGGGTTGGAGGTAAGTGAGGGGTGGAAATGATGAAGGGATGAATGTGACTGGTAGCTGTTTCTTTGGTTTCCATGGTAAAGATGCATAAAACAGAAGGAATGTGCTACCTTCCTTTATAAAAGAACACTTAATTTATTTTTTCTAAAGCTTATGAAAAAGTCATCCTACACTCTCTCATTTAAACCAAAACTATCTCCTCTTCCTAGAGTGGTCTGAACTGAAAGGCAATATTCATCCAGAGAGTGTGGCCAAAAAAACCTGGAAAAGAGGTATCTCCTTTTCCGCCTCCCCCACCCAGTATACCACCTGGCATACAGTAGGTGCTCAACAAATATTTGAAGTTACTGTAGTGGCTGCTGTGTGAATTAACTGTCCTCTGTTGACAGTGCAGTAAACAATGTGATGATTCCTATAAGACCGTAAAAGATCAGCTCAGTCTCACTCCTAGGCTAGCTTGTGAGGTCAGCAATACTTATCAAACAATTGATTAGTTCAGAGGTCACACAAGCGGACAGATTTTGCTTTGGCCTGCAAGGTTTCAAAACACATTTTGAATGAACATTCAAAGCTTGAGAGATTCCACATGCATTTACAGCTGGCTTGCTGTAAATAGTACCGATAGTACCTATCTAGCCCTTTTGGGAACTTGGGTTGGTGCCTGGGTTATAACTGCGTTAGACTAAATCAAAATTCAGAAAAGTTCTATTTCAGTTAGCTGTTTCAGGAGTTAATTTAATGCTGTATAAAACAGACACACACATACACCCACCTAACAAAAAATAGAAGGTTCAGAATGTGTAAATACAAAAACCAAACCCTCCGGCCCTCAAATTTCTCACTGCTTCTGACTGTGCAGAGCCCCCGCAATTGATTTGTAATGACCCTGTTCTCAAACCCTCCTCTTCCTGGGCTCCTGCCGACTGGAGGCATCAAGAGGAGAGACCACCTCGTCCCTTTCTAATGCTTGACAAAGTCCCCCATCACAACTGAGAAGGAATTCTTGATGCAAGCAGGAAGGTGGGAATTAAAACCCCACTGATATAAAAAGCTACTGGCACAGCGGCTTGCCATTTAGAAGACACTATTTAGGATTTTACAGAAATTAATCGCATTAAATAGGAACAAAATACAAGTGATTTTCATTTATTATTTCAAAAATATGTTACAACGCTGAGAGTCCCCCACTTAAAAATTACTCCTGAGAAAGGCAGCTGGATTTTGATAAATGTCCCTTCCCAAATTGATGCCACCTACACCCTGGACCCTCCTGCTGGTCCAGTATGGTCCCTGGAGCCACAGAGCCCCCACCCTGTTCTCTTGCTGCTCAAATGACCCTTCTAGCCCTGCATGGCCCCTCCACACTCCTTCCCCACTTCTTGGCTTTATATTTTGTTTTTTTTTTTAAACCTCTCCCCGGCCCACCACAAATACACCTCAAAGATATTTCGGTAATACACATTATATAAGAATAAACATTTATCAGGCACCTACTATGTGTCCATTGCACGTCTATCTACTAGAGAGAGGTCAACCCATTCAGTAACCAGTACAATCATCTGAGGCTTGCAGGGTGGTGGCTGAAGATAGAATGTTCAGCGGCCAAACTGCTGAGTAGGATTTTATCAAGGCTTGCTGACCACATCTGACGTGGCCCCAGTGCTGTCTAGAAGGCGCCATCCAACTCTAAGAGTCTATGATTACTGCTCCCGGTTTTTTTTTTTTTTTTTTTTTTTTTTTTTTCAGTTTATTGGGGTATAATTGACAAATAGAACTGCTGCCATTTTTAAGAATGCAAAATTTATAGGTGCCCATGTTGCTGGGAAAGAAACTTTTCTCTTTGACACGCCCTCATATTTCCCATTAAAGGAGGACAGCTCAGATTATTAATTCTGGGTAAAAGTGTGCCTCCTCAACACAGTCCCCTCATCTTACTCCACCAAACCGAGGGGCACCCTCACCCCTCATTACTGAACTCGAGATGCCACCCAATGCCGAAATCAAGCTAGAGGGCTAAATCCCGCCAGTGTAGAAATGCAATTTCCTCCAGTTTGCTTTGATAATTGCAGTTTCCTCTATGAAAGTCCGTCATTAAAGCCCACTCCAAGGAAGTTCCCATAGACAAAACCCCAGCGACCAGACCTGGCAGAACGGGAGTCAGCTCGATCTGCTCCGAGACCCTACAGAAGAAAAGGCGGGTCTGGAAGAGCTCTTGGGAAAGAAAGGGGATTTCCTGTCCCTGGTCCTGGATCTAGATCCGGACCCACTTGAGAAGCTCGGGAGGTCTCTCGCGGGCGCGGCGACCCCAAGGAGCGCAGATTCCCAGAGTCGCGGGGTGGAGAGGGGCTGCGGGGCGAGGACTGCCCCGGGAATTCCACACAGAGCCTCTTTCTCTTGCTTCCCTCCGTGCCCCACTCTTACTCCTCCTCCCGACGCCCCCTCCCGGGGAGGGTGGGACCCAAGTGCCGGGGAATTGGGGGTTGGGGGTCGGCGCGTGCAGTGCGGTGGCGGGGAGGGAAGCCGGCGCCTGGAAGCCTACCGTCTTTTGCTTCTTGATCCCCGACATGCTGGCTGGCTGCGGCGGAGCCCGGGTCCCGGGAGCAGAGACCGAAGGACGCAGGGACGGCGGCGGCGGCGGCGGCAGCAGCAGCAGCAGCAGCAGCAGCGGCTGCCGGACTCCCGGGAAGGAGGTATAAAAAGGCTCCGCAGACACGTCGCACTTCCCTTGACCAGCCCCCTTCTCCTACTCCTCCTCCCGCCACGCTCCTCTCCGCCCCGTCGGTTCCGCAAGCAGCGCCCAGCCTTGGGGACCCGGCCGCCGCCGCCTAGGCGGGGTCCCCGGCCCGGCCCCTACTCGCGGGCGCGCGCTCCGCCAGCCCCGGTCCCGGGCGAGACCTTGCAGCGGAGCGGCAGATGGCACGCCCGGCACGCGGCCTGGGGTCAAGTTCACCCCGCCCGCCCCACCCCCAGAGGGTCCCAGAGCGTCCTCCACTCCCCTCACCAGCCTCCCGCGCCTCTTCAAGGAAGTCTTCCTGCCTCTAGGACCTAAGAGCTTATTTGGTTAAGGGCAAGGATGCTTGAAGCCGCCAGGTTTGTTGGCAGGATCCTCATATGCAGTAGTAAAAACGAAGGTTCACACTCATGGATCCTTACAATGCACTCCGCTGGGCTCTGCCTTAATTCTCATGGGCCCCCTCCATCCTGCCCCGACCCCGGGCAGCAAGTCCTACTATCTTCCAGTTTTACAAACGAGCAATTGAGGCTTTCAGACTTTGCCAAGATTATATTCCAAATGAGGGGATTCAAACCCAGGCTGACAGCCTCCTCAGTGCAGGCTTTCTTCACCAGCATCATCACACATGGTGATAACTCCCAAGGTTCACAGCTTGTCTGTTCACTATGCATCGTGCTGAGGGGCTTCCATGCACTTCCTCCATTCCCGCTCACAACAGTATCGTCAGGTTACAGGTATGGGCCTGTGGAGGCACGGCCCCTCCTCACAACGACAAGCAAGTGGCAATGGCCAATGGAAGCCCAGCAACTTGTTTCAGTCCACCCCCAAAGTAGCACTTCTGTTCCACTGGAATGGGCCCTGAGGAGGAGGAAAAGGAGGCACAAGATGAGCAGGCTTAGGCCTAGGGCGCCAAGATTTTACCAGAAGGCAGTATGGGGCAACCCTCTGAACGAACCCAAAGGCAGTATGGGGCAACCCTCTGAACGAACCCAAATGTCAAGGCCAAGTAGAGGTGAGGGAGAGAAGCTCTAGTGACAAGCACTTTGGGGGCAGTCACTGGGTCTCACACCCCTTGTACCTTAACTGACTCCTTGTGTAATGCTACAAACGGATGGATATGACCATACTCTCAAAAGAAGTAACGTAACACACAAGGGCCACACTTCTCATTCCCACTCTAGTGTTCCTGCTGTGAAAGAGTTGGAGTAATATTCTATGGAGGTGAGGGATGGGACTTTTCTTTCATACCTAATTGTATTTCTGGAAGACTGCCAGCTTTCCAGACAGACACTTGATCTGAGTATTCATTGACTGCCCTTCGCCGTGGGAAGGTGGGAAAGAAAAATAAATCAGGAGTCAGAAACGTAAAAGGCAGCCTGCATGTCTGTACAGTCTAGAGTTGTAAGCTGATTTATTTTCTTACTCATTTTGAGTAAACTGCCACCACTGCCTTCCAATGTAAGCAGCTAGGGGCAAATACTGAGTTTGAGTTTCTGTTCTGCATACAAACTAGCACATTTTAAATGTATATGAAGTTTAAATAGCAACATCCTATTCTTATTTCATTGGAAAAATCCTTTTATATTAGTTTCCACCATATCTTAGACTCTGCCAGATCTTGCCCTAAGAAAAGGTAAAGTAAATGTGAATTGAAAAATAGCAATTTGCGGCCTGGCACGGTGGCTCATGCCTGTAATCCCAGCACTTTGGGAGGCCGAGGCAGTCAGATCACCTGGTATCAGGAGTTCGAGACTAGACTGACCAACATGATGAAACCCTGTCTCTAATAAAAATACAAAATTAGCCAGATGTGATGGCATATGCCTGTAATCCCGGCTACTTGGGAGGCTGAGGCAGGAGAATCGCTTGAACCCGGGAGGCAGAGATTGCAGTGAGCCGAGATTGCGCCATTGCACTCCAGCCTGAGTAACAAGAGTGAAACTCCATCTCAAAAAAAAAAAAAGAAAAATAGCAATTTGCGTGATTGTTATTTTGTTTTTATATTGCATCTAAAAACAAAAAGCTGTCTTCTTGAAACAGGAAGTTAAGGACAAATACGTAAGCTACTTCCTGGAAAAGAAATATATGATTGTTTAGATCTGGGAGAGGTTGTGAGATCATTTGTCCAATTTCCCCATTCCTGTATTTTACATATGAGCAATGTAAAACTGGCGCTTAGGGAAGGGAGGGCATCTGACCGTAGTCACTAGTTAGGAGCAGAGCTGAGGCTTTAACGCAGGTCAGCCTGACTTCCCAAGTGCTCTGACCCCAAATGTCCTGCCCACTGAGTCACCCAACTTCCACGCCAACTATTTCAATACCCCATGATAACTGTAAACAGGACTGCTTATCTTGTTTTAGATTTCATTCATTCTCAAAAATTATTTTGGAATAGGCATTCTTTTACTGTGAAAATGGAGGCCTCAGTTCTTTTGGACTCAAGCTAGGCTGTTTATGACCCTTTGATGTCACAGATCACCAATTTAGTCGTGATTCAGCACAGCAGTTTACTAAAAAGCAAAACACTCTTTTTTTATTTTCTCAGGGTCTTTCCTTTTAAAGGCAATAGATTTCTTTTTCATCTCACTACCCTCTTGCTCTTAGGAGAGGACATTCCTTCTGAAAAGATATGAGCAACGAGAAACTTAATTTTCGGAGCCTATGATTCGGACATATAGGAACTGGGAGAAGACTCATTCAGGGGACAGAGGAAGGATTGAGGTCTTCTGCTTCATATAGACACAGAATCTGTAACTTCTTCAGTAGTGTTCCCTCCAAGACTTCCCTGAAAAACACCATAGATAACATTGTGCCAATTGATCATCCCTGATACTACTGATAACATTTACATGAAGGTTTCCCCTGTACCACCCCTTCTCCACCATCTCATTTTCATTTCTTCCTTCCAGAAGCTGTCTGCACTTGCATAACTTAATAAAATGGTGATTGCTAGTTGATCCTTATATTGTTTAGAAAAGATAGAATCAGTCAACTCCTCCAAATAAACAGGAGAAGGATATACAAAGAATGCCAGTGTTGGTGAGATGTTTATGCCACAGTTTCTCCAATGCATTTTAGGGGGGCTCATCATATTAGGGGCTCTAACGTGGAGGCAACACCACTGGGTGGTCATTACAAGGAATGTGACTATATTGCCCCCTCGTGGTTGTAATGCATAAATGCTGAACAAGACCTGAAACCCCCTAAACAAAAATAAGTGCAGCATTCCACTGGGTGAAGAGCACTTAGTGAAAATCTTTGAGGATCTGAACACTTTTCTCAGGCACAGGTACTACTTAGATGAGCAAGATGTGGTCCCTGTCTTCAAGAAACTCACAATCTATTGAAAGAGAAAGATACCCGACTCCCTTCCTGCCGCCCACTGGTTCCCCATCACTTCAATACATAATTGGTTGAACAGGTAAAGATGATACGTGCATGCCTTAGACATTTTATTTTGACTTAACACATACACGTCACTAATCTTTTGATATGGGGCCAAAGGCTTCTAATTGTGACATGAGTCTACTGATAGGAACTTCATAAACTACTTTCATTAGGCATCTTCAACAATTTCCAGGTTGGAATTTTATAAAGTGAAGTTAGAAATTAAGGGCACTTAAAAAAATCTGAAAGGAGATTCTTTCAAGATTACTACATACCCCTCCCCTATCCTGTCTGTAGTTTTGCCTATGGCTCATTCAAAAGTACGATTTCTAGCATCTTATCTTTCCAAAGCATCCATCTGTTTTCATAGAAAACACAACTCTTTCACTCATGTGCTATTCACTCAAGTGACATCTAGTTAAATTACTTAATTAAACTAACAAGTACGACTGGCAGAAATAGGTTTGAGAACAAACAATGGATCCCAGCAAACACGCAGCTTAGGTGAAGAAGTGTCTGGGCATTTCAGTGCATCCTCCTGTTGAAGAACATTGAGTTCACTGTGGGCATCAGTCATTGTTTTCTCTCAAAGAAACCCAGAATATGGATTAAACTGGTCAGTAAATTAAAGGAGATTGTGAGTGCACAAAGGAGGGACATCTAGTTCAACCTTGGGAGGAGAGTGGGGACTGATGTCAGATTTTCTTGGGGAAAGATCATATATGAACTGAGACTTTAAAAAATGGTAGGAGCCAGGCATGGTGGCTCAGGCCTGTAATCTCAGCACTTTGGGAGGCTGAGGCGGGTGGATCATTTGAGGTCAGGAGTTCAAGACCAGCCTGGCCAACACGGTGAAACCCCGTCTCTACAAAAAATACAAAAAAATTTTAAAAAAAGCCAGGCGTGGTGGTGCGCACCTGTAATCCCAGCTACTTGAAAGGCTGAGGCACGGGAATCACTTGAATCCAGAAGGCGGAGGTTGCAGTGAGCCAAGATTGTGTCACTGCACTCCAGCGTGGGTGACAGAGTGAGACCCTGTCTCAAAACAAAACAAACAAACAAAAAACACAAGTGGTAGGGTTTTTGTCAGCACTCCCCTCTGTAAGATGGATGTGTGTGTAAGCTTGAAAATTGTAAAGCAGAGAGATGCATGAAATAACATGGTATGTTCAGAAAATTATAAGTATCTGTATTGCTGATTTTAGAAAATGCAATTGAAGAGTAGGGAAAGTTGTAACTGAGGACCTACCACATATAATCAGGTAGCAGCGTGCTTTTGCACGTTCTCTTCTTCATGCCCTTCGGAGTGTGTTAGCCATGTGGCTGGCCTCCCATTTGTTCAGTAGTAATTAGGGACACTTCCCAGGTCCAAGAAGGAGAAGTCACTGTCCTGAGGTGCCCATGGTCTGATGTGGGAGATGGAGATGTACACAAATAATTCTGATTTTTTTTTTTGAAATGGAGCCTCACTCTGTTGCCCAGGCTGGAGTGCAGTGGCACCATCTTGGCTCACTGCAACCTGTGTCACCTGGGTTCAAGCGGTTCTCCTGCCTCAGCCTCCCGAGTAGCTGGGATTACAGGCATCTGTCACCGCACCTGGCTAATTTTTGTAGTTTTAGTAGAGACAGGGTTTCACAACCTTAGTCAGGCTGGTCTTGAACTCCTGACCTCGTGATCCACCCGCCTCGGCCTCCCAAAGTGCTGAGATTACAGGCATGAGCCACCGTGCCCAGCTGTACACAAATAATTCTAAGGAAATGTGATTAATTGCTGGAATAAAAGGATATTTAGAGTAATTTAAAAAGTACATAAAAACAGAGGTGATGACTGCTGGACTATGAAGAGATCCTATGACTGGTGATATTTAGCCTGAGTTTTCAAGGTTAAAAGGAAGTTGAACAGGAGGGTGATCTGTCACCCTACTGATGGCCAAAGCTGCTTCAGCTGATGCCTCGGGCTGCATGAGGTATTCACTTCTTACCCTGCTATTTCTGGTTCTTCCTTCCTGAAGTACTCCAGCCTATCAGTAAATACCCAGGTATAGTACACAGAGAAAAAGTGATAGGCAAACATTGCACTGGCAGCACTGACCCTATCACCAAAAGGCTGCCCAGAGATCTTAGGTGGCCAGTGGAAAAATCCTTACTCCCAGGCAAAAGTAATGCTCTTCTGCCATTTCTTGAATGAATCCAGTTTGAAGTTATTATCTAGTTTTTGTATTCACGTAAAAAAAGTATATTTATTAGTGTACTCACACATTGCATAAAGGAGAAACAATTTGGGTATTTATGGAGATATACTTCAAAATTCAACAAACCTTAGCGAAAACAACAGTTACACTTGTTTAATGTCAGACAAATCATTTACTTCAGTTATTAATAACTAATTGGCTGAGTTTTTCAGACTTCAACAGGTTCTTTTTTTTTTCTTTTTTTTTAAGAATTGTCTCACTCTTGTCGCCCAGGCTGGAGTGCAGTGACGCGATCTCACTGCAACCTCCGCCTCCCAGGTTCAAGCAATTCTCCTGTCTCAGCCACCTGAGTAGCTGGGATTACATGCATCTGCCACCACACCCAACTAATTTTTGTACTTTTTAGTAGAGATGGGGTTTCACCATGTTGGCCAGGCTGGTCTCAAACTCCTGACCTCAGGTGATCCACCTGCCTCGGCCCCCCAAAGTGCTGGGATTACAGGCATGAGCCACCGCGCCCAGCCAACAGGTTATTTTAAAAGGTGTTTAGCAAGGTGAAATAGATCTTAATCTATGTCACTAGAGGTTTATTTGAAAAATATCCAACTAAAGTTAGCTATATTTTAAGAATTACATTTTAAAGAAAGGAAAGAAGGAAGAAGGAAAAGGAAGAAATAGAAATTGTGATGTTTGGCCTAAAATTGAGCAAATATCACAAAACATTACATTCAGAGAAAGTAGAGTTGTCATTGAAGAAATTTATCTTAAAGTATGGAAGAATAGAAATATTTCATTTAAAAATAACTCATATAGGGTTATGTTGTAAGTGCTCTATCTTCCAGTATACCTGAGAAATGTGGTGGTATGATACATTTAATAGTATAATTATTAGGGAATATCATAGATACTCTAAGTGGATAGTTAATTTCCAAAGAGTAGAATACAATATGTTGAGCATAATTGAATTTACTAGGGGGTCCCAAACCTTCTGGAAGGATTTCATAAATTTGGGTGGTCACATCATGGAAAGATAAGCAGTAAAAAATAAATAAAAATAAAAATAAATCTTGCTGTCTCTCTGACACACATGCACTCGTTCTCTCTGTCTCTCTCGCTGTCTCTGGTAAAAATATAAAAACGCTAATGGTCCCAACTCATGAATCTTTGGCTTCCTGAAAGTATTTTAAAAGAGGTTATATGGATGCTAAACATTTTCTGAAAAACAGTGAAGAATAACATTTGTGTTCACTTAAAATGTTATCAAATTCATTTATTGATTACATGCTATTTTCAGTCACTGAATACTAAAAATACAACTACAATTATAGCAATAATCTCCTAAAGAAAAGATTGGAGACTATTGCCCATTATAAAAACATAAATATTGGGCCTAGTTGTTATTATATGCACTGTTAAACTTATTCTTGAACCTTGAGATATCCCTATTGTTTGTTTTTGTTTGGTTTTCTTTTAGTTTAGAAAGACAACTCTGCTCTGGACAGGGGTAAGGTCTTCACTGAAGCCCCAGAAGTTCTCAAACTTTGTGGTATATTACAGTCGTTGGAAGAACCACACACTGGAATGATTCAATCAAAAATCAAAATCTGAGGGGTGGGTCCCAGGCGTCAGTAGTTTTAAAAGTTTCTCATTAAGAGAATCCTTGGTTCTCAAAAATTAGGGTGCCCCAGATCCCCTAGAAGGCTTGTGAAAATCCAGATTGCAGCCCCACCACCCCACCACCCCACCAGCACATCTCATTCAGAAGGTCTAGAGTGGGACACAGAATTTGCATTTCTAAAGGTTCCCAAGGGCTGCTGATGTTGCTGGTTCAGAAACCACAATCTGCAAAACACTGTCCTAAATGTAGGTCTTCCAACTCACCCATGTTTTAATTTTGTACAATAAATTTAGAAAATAAAGTAGAAAGAGAAGAAATATATGTGTTGGGGAGACACCTTGGATAATATTGTAAAAATTCATTTATAATGTTTGACTGCAATAAAACGTCTAAAAGAGTCGTGGGGAAGCAAATAAACTTTACCAAGAAAAGTTCTTAGGGTTGACTAGTCATTAAAATCACCTGGGAAGCTTAGAAAAAAAAAAAAAAATCTGCTGCCTGGCTTTTCTCGCCCCTGCACCAAAAAATTAAACCCTTAGGTGAGGCTACTGTGCAGCCAGGTGGGGAACATCTAGCCCACCGTCTCTCCAGCTCCAGCGTGCGTAAAGATCCCCTGGAGTGCTTGTAAAAACACACATTCCTGAATCCTACCCTCGGAATTCCCCTGCAAGATCACTTAGCTCTAATTCCAATGGAGAACTTTTCATTAGGCCTGAGTGATTTTTCTCCGAAATGCTTTGTTTAGTCTGAGTTCTTTCTTTTATCTAAAGGCTTTGGTCTAACAAAAATCAGAAGACTCTAGTTATATTTTCCACTCTCCACGCTGAACTCAGGATGGTCTTGCTTGAATGGTAGAGGGTCCAGGATGGGGGAATATTTGGTGTAAAAATCAGTTAATACTTTAAAAATATTGTTGGACCATACCATTTTTTTCTAACGTTATTGATTAATCAATAATATTACTGGTTTTGTTATTGGAAAGGGATCCTGATCCAGACCTCAGGAGAGGGTTCTTGGATCTCTTGAAAGAATTCAGGGCGAGTCCACAGTGCAAAGTGAAATCAAGTTTATTAAGAAAGTAAAGGAATAAAAAAATGGCAACTCCATAGGCAGAGCCAAACCTTGAGCTCCTCGACTAAGGAGGATACTTAATGTTATTTCTTGATGATATGCTAAACCAGGGGTGGATTATTCATCAGTTTTCCTGGAAAGGGGTGGGCAATTCCCGGAACTGAGGGTTCCTCTCCCTTTAAACCATATGGGGTAACTTCCTAAGGTCGCCATGGCATCTGTAAACTGTCATGGCACTGATGGGAGTGTCTTTTAGCATGCTAATGCATTATAATTAGCATATAATGAGCAGAGGACAACCAGAGGTCACTTTCATGGCCATCTTGGTTTTGGTGGGATTTGGCTGGCTTCTTTACTGCATCCTGTTAATCAGCAAGGTCTTTATAACCTGTATCTTGGGCTGACCTCCTATCTCATCCTGTGACTTAGAATGCCTAACCTACTGGGAATGCAGCCTAGCAGGTCTCAGCCTTCTTTTACCCTGCCCCTGTTCAATATGGAGTCACTCTGGTTCAAATGCCTCTAACAGTTTGTGGTTCCTCATGCATAATGCGTAATATTAGCTGGCAGGAGCTACACCTGGCAGTTGTTGGGTGCTAAATCCTTGTTACTACCCACCATGGAGCCCATGGAAGAAGCAGCTCAATTTTATAATGAACTCTTTTGCCCATTTGCCCTTTCAGACTAATTACTGATTTTTTTTTTCTTAAGCCCCCTGAGCTACCGCCTAATATTGTATAAGGCTTCTGATTGAAATAGTTAATAAGTAAATTATACATTAATTTGGGATGAATTGATATAAAGATCAAGTTTCCTCTCTGCCACATGGTATCTCAATCTAGTCAGATTTCTTAGGTCTCATATATAAGTAATTCCTATTAAATTATAAGTGGAATTCCCCACTTTACTCCCCTTCTGTCATTCTTGTTTTGGAGAAATGCTATGGATTTGGAGATATTTCTCAATTTGGTTACTTAGTTCATCTTTACTTAAAATAATAAAATTATATATTTACTTAATAAAATCACCTTTTTTTTCCCTTAATTTGAATGTTGGGGTTTGAGGAAAAGAGAGTTAACTGATAGTTTCAAGTAGCTGGTAAGCTGGAACAAGTCTGAAAAAATTGTGTGCATTTCGAAGGGCTTTCAACGTTGGCAGCACTTTATTTTAATTCAGTGGCTTGCCTTTCTTCTTTTCTGTCTCTCTCAAAAGTGTTTCACCAGGCTTAGCGCAGTGGCTCAAACCTGTAATCCCAGCACTTTGGGAAGCCAAGGTGGGTGGATCACCTGAGGTCAGGAGTTTGAGACCAGCCTGGCCAACATGGTGAAACCCCGTCTCTTACTAAAAATACAAAAATTAGTTGGACACGGTGATGGGTGCCTGTCATTCCAGCTACTCGAGAGGCTGAGGCAGGAGAATCACTTGAACCCTGGAGACGGAGGTTGCAGTGAGCTGAAATCGTACCACTGCACTCCAGCTTGTCCGATGGAGCAAGACTCCATTTCAAAAAAAAAAAAAAAATCCACATTCTGTGTTAATTTGCTTAGGATAAAAATAAATAATTTTTTTAAATGAACATAAATGTATTATAGATGAATCATGTGATCATACTGAAGAGAGTGGTTAAAAAAAGAACTAACAAGTTACTTTAGAAAGCAGTATTTTAACTGGTTACTATAAGGCTAAAGACAAAAAGAACTGTACACAAATACTGCACTCTAGTTCACAAATTTGCTTTATTTTCTATTTTGTTTTGTTTTGTTTTGTTTTGTTTTGTTTTTGAGACAGAGTTTTGCTCTGTTGCCCAGGCTAGAGTTCAGGAA
Source organism: Homo sapiens (assembly GCF_000001405.40). NCBI lineage: Eukaryota > Metazoa > Chordata > Mammalia > Primates > Hominidae > Homo > Homo sapiens. The sequence goes on along the minus strand of NC_000010.11, from coordinate 87,649,723 downwards.
TACAGTCACAGCTCACTGCAGCCTTGACCTCTTGGGCTCAAGTGATCCTCCCACCTCAGCCTCCCAAGTAACTGGGACAACAGGCATGTACCACCACGCTCAGCTAATTTTTTGATATTTTGTAACGGTGAGGTCTTAACTATGTTGCCCAAGCTGCTCTTGAACTCCCGGACTCAAGTGATCCTCACATCTCTGCCTCCCACAGTGCTGGGAATACAGGTGTGAGCCACTGTGCCCAGCCACAAATTTTTTCCTTACAAAGATATGGGTTAGCAATTCTGAAACTATTTTATATGTATACTAGGTTTGAATAAATAGGTATATTGCTGGTAATGAGAGCCAGCTTTCTGTCAGCGAAAGAAATTACGAAGAAGGAGGAAAAGCTAGAATAACCTGGTGGCATTAGACAGGCAATAGAGGTATCAGTATTGATATGGTTTGGCTGTGTCCCCAGCCAAATCTCATCTTGAATTCCCACATGTTGTGGGAGGGACCTGGTGGGAGGTAATTGAATCATGGGGGCAGGTCTTTCCATGCTGTTCTCATGATAGTGAATAAGTCTCACAAGATCTGAAGGTTATATAAGGGGGAGTTTCCCTGCATAAGCTCTCTCTTTGCCTGCTGCCATTTATGTAAGATGTGACTTGCTCCTCCTTGCCTTCCACCATGATTGTGAGGCCTCCACAGCCGCATGAAACTGTAAGTCCATTAAACCTTCTTCCTGTATTAATTACCCGGTCTTGGGTATGTCTTTATCAGCAGTGTGAAAACGGACTAATACAAGTATAAATGCCTAGGTTTTTAATATACATACATATAGGTAGATATAGACGTAGATATGTGTATATGAATGTGCTGGTATACATGTTTGTATTTCCTAGCTCTGTCCACTGAGAGAGTTTAAAAGCAATAAAATCACAATAGCAATGAACACACCCAGTATTGAGATCTTGGTTTCTAAATACTATTCGTCAATAAAAGAAACCAGGGCTCCTTGGAGAAGTAGTTGATTCCAGGGCTGAGGCAGGAAGAATACAAAATGAGGCTGGAGCCTCTTGTGCTAGAAAGTAAGGAAGTATTCAAAAAAAGAATGGGGTATATCAAAAGGCACAGAAGCCAGCCTGAAAGAACTCCCAGTTGCCAAAGCTAGAACAACTAGAACCACAAAATCTGTAATGATAGTATTGAATTATAACCCACAGAATAAAATAGACATCTAAGAGTCCATAATGATGTAAATAAGTGATTGAATACATGAATATGTGGAAGAGAGGGATAAATCTTTCTTTTGGAGAGATTCCAGTTAATAAATGTAAAAGGAATGGGAGAAACAATAAATCGCCATTAGTAATTGTTGCAGACACAATCTATCAATGAAATCTTAAAGTTGTGGGAAAAAATTCAAGTAGAAAGAGTATATTTGTATAGTCTCAAAGTTTCTATCCCAAGATGTTTACTATTTACAAAGGGGGAAAAGTAACTTCACAGTGGACAAACCCAGCATACCTTATCTTAACCATATGATCTAGGCTAACATAACAAACAAAACATGCACATCATGTACCTTCTTACAGGATGTAATGAAAAGGGCATGTCACTTCTGTGGTATTTTGTCAAAAATACATAACTTTAATCCAATAATGAGAAAACATCAGACTAACCTGATGGAGAACATTTTGCAAGATAAACAATCAGTACTCTTCAAAAGAGTCAAGGTTATGAAAGAAAAGGACAAACTGAGGAACAGTCACAGACTGAAGGAGACCAAGGAGATGTGGTGGATAGACTTTAAAGTGGTCCCCATGGTTCCCCCTTCTGATATGCATGCCTTTATGTAACCCCCTCCCGTTGAATGTGGGTGGGACCTGTGACTTATTTATAACCAATGGAATATGGTAAAGGCAATGCGAGGTATGTGATTGTGATTATGTGCATGTGATTACACAAGATTATAGCACCTGTCTTGCAAAAGAGTCTCTCTATTGCAAGAGGAATTGTGCTTTTTCTCCCTTCAATTGTGAGGTGTCCACACTCACCCTGAGTGTGGAAGAAAGGAGGATGTGGTAGCTTTTTCTTTTTTTTTTGAGACAGAGTCTCACTCTGTCACCCAGGCTGGAATGCAGTGGCATGATCTTGGCTCACTGCAACCTCCACCTCCTGGGTTCAAGTGATTCTCCTGCCTCAGCCTCCTGAGTAGTTGGGATTACAGGCACCTGCCACCATGCCCGGCTAATTTTTGTACTTTTAGTAGAGATGGGGTTTCACCACGTTGGCCAGGCTGGTCTCGAACTCCTGAACTCAGGTGATCCACCTGCCTTGGCCTCCCAAAGTGCTGGGATTACAGGTGTGGGCCACCACGCCCAGCCAATGTAGTAGCATTAGGTCCAACATGATTGCACACCCAGAACTAGATATTTCCACCATCCCAAAATAGATTGTGTAAAGAGAGCCAGGCAACTGCCCCACATTGGGAGGAGGCAGAAATTTAAATGTGAGGCAGACGGGAACTCCCTATTGGCAGCAGAAACTGAAAGACAAAGCAAGAAAAGCCATTGAGCAAATGTCATCAGGCAATGGAATCCATGAGTAAGCAGAGCCTTTAGGTAAAGAAGAGAAGCGTAGACACAGCAGAAGTGAAGACCTAGAAAAATGATATCACAAGAATGGTGGAGTGCCTGAAGCACAGAACACTTGATGCTGGATTGGCAGAGGTGCTGGTATCCAAAACCCAGCCAGTGTGTACTCAAAAGAATCCAAGTGGACATTGCCACCACCCAGCAGGCTCTTCTCAGATCAGAAGCTCCCGTATGTCAGCAGACGTCCTTTCACATCAGCCCCACGAGACACCAATGTGATCCTTCCAAATGTGGCTCCACACACCTTGGGAAACTGTCCCACTCAGAGTGCTGTCATTTCTGCAATACTATGTCTGGAGACTTTACCTGGCTCAGGCCTTCCTTAGACTCTAGGCTGTGGCAGCTTCCAAAGTATGCCTTTGACAGCATACTTTGGAATTCATCAAATTCCACTTGAAGATATGTGAGAGCTTGCACAATAGTTTGTCTAAGGACTGTCAATTGGTGATGGATTGAGAGTCTGGTGAAGGGGATCAGAATATACCACCCCCAAATATACCACTTTGGCATAGGATTATTTTGAAGTTAAAGCAATTGAGAAATAGCAGATTCAGAAGGAACTCTCTACCCTCCCCTTTTCTGCCTAAAAGTAGGGTAAATATAACAAATTTCCATCTGTAAAAGTATCTCCCCTCCCCTCTCCCATACCGGAAGGCAGAGAACAACCTGTGTCACAGGAGCTGGTAAGTCAACACTGAGATGAGTCTGCACAAACAAACCTTACTACCATAACCCTTTCCTTCAATGAGCTTCCCCGATATATTTACCCTCCCAAAATATACCACCATTAGAAGCCCAAGCCCCTTTTCCTTTGTCTTATCATTTCTCCAGAATTTATCACCCTTTGTTAAGATGATATATAAGCTCTTAGGCCTGACTGATTTGGGTTTTCAGTTCTTTTCTGTGACACCTCCCTCCCTATGTGCATATAAAATAACTTTTTATTAATCTGTCATTTGTCAGTTTAAGTCACAGGCCCCAGCCCCTAAACCCAAGAGGGTATAGGAAAATTTTTTTTCTTCCTCTACATCTGGAACCTCCCTGCCCATATTTCTTTCAGCACTACTAAAGCGTCAGAACTTTCCTCACCAGTACTCAGGAGTTTTTATCAATTATCATTGCCTTCGTGCAAACATGATAATGAATGGTAGTAAGCTGATGCCTATGCTTTCAATCAGGAGGTCACAACTTACAAAAAATATCGAATATTCATACTCTCTTATAAATTCCACACAGCCAACTGATTCTCATAGAATGTTTTCCTTGATTTTTGCCAAATTCGTAGTGCATAGTCAAGCTAGGGTATAATTCAAGCATGATTTGACAAATAAGATTGCATCCTAATCTGCTAACCCTTTTCGCAATAAATTTATTATCATTTCATCTGATATATGATCTGTTAAACTATTTTTTACCCTCATAAAAATTACATTCACTAAAGTGAGCCTCCTTTCAGCTTCTGCACTACCGTGCTGGAACTTCCCTTACTCGTTCATCAATGGCATGAGCAACTTCATTGCTGAATAATAGCTTTTGAATACTGAAAGAATATTTCCTTGATGTTTTGTGCCATTCAGGATGCAATAGCTATAACCATGACTTATTTTTCAGGTTAATCTTCATTGTTCCACTGGGAATATACTGATATGGCAAAAAACTCTAGCGATGAGTTAATTAACTGACTCATTTTACTGAATTCAGGAAGAATTCAAGAGTGATGCTTTATAGGTGTCAAATTCAGCTGTCCTTAATCCTTGGGCAGAGCTAATTTCTGCCAGGAACTATTTAATCCTGCATGAGGCTACAAACTCCTTCCTGAGACTGGTGCTAGAAGTCAGGAAAGGCCTGTGTTCGTATATGTGGTCGGCAGCCTCTGAGATGGCCTTCATTGTCCCCATCTCCTGCTGTGTCATCTTCTCCCCTTGAAAGTGGGCTGAGCTAATGACTGGCTTCTAGGGACTATAATATGGCAAAAGTGATTGGATGTCACTTCCAAGATTAGGTTATAAGAAGACTGACTTCCATCTTCCTCACTCCCTCCTCCTGTCTCCCTGGCTCCCTCTGAGGACAGCCAGCTGTTGTGTTGTGAGCTGCCCTAGGAAGAGGTCCACCAGGGAAGAAACTAATTAGTCTTCAGTCAATAGCCAGTGACAGCCTGAGGCCTACCAGTAGTCACAGAGTGAGCTTAGAAGTGGATCTTCCCTCAGTCAAACCTCCAGATGAGACCGGATGTATTAGTCTGTTCTTATACTGCTAATAAAGACATACCCGAGACTGGGTAATTTATAAAGGAAAGAGGCTTAATTGACTCACAGTTCCACATGGCTGGGGAGGCCTCACAATTATGGCAGAAGGCAAATGAAGAGTAAAATCACATCTTACATGGCAGCAGGAAAGAGAGCTTGAGCAGGGGAACTCCCCTCTATAAAACCATCAGATCTCAGACTTATTCACCACCACAAGAACAACATGGGAAAGACCCGCTCCCATGATTCAATTACCTCCCACTGGGTCCCTCCTACAACACATGGGAATTATGGGTGCTACAATTCAAGATGAGATTTGGGTGGGGACACAGCCAAACCATATCACCAGAGTCCTGAGTGACACCTTGATTGCACCCTTGTGAGAGACCTTGAGGGAGAAACACCCTGCTAAGCCTGGAATGCTGACCTTCAGAAACTTCGAGATTTTAAATGTGTGTTGTTTAAACCATTAAGTTTCTAATGCTGCAACAGATAGCTAACATGATATGTATTATTACAAATAAAATAGAATATTATTCCCTCCATTGTACAGATGAGGCAAACAACTGTTTGACTAACTTTCCCAGGTTTGCCTAGCCCTTGTATAAAGGGGCTCAGCTGAGATTCCAACCCAGGTGCATGCTCTCAATGTCACTCTGTCTGCCGTCCATGAGTGGCCAGAAACAATAACATATTTCAGTTTTAGTCAGGGGGCCCTGATGCGATCCCTTCTGTTTCCCTTAGGACATTATGGTAATGGTTAGCAATTTACCTCATCAGATCATGTACCTCATCAGATCAGTGTACCTCAGATCCATTAAATTGCTCAACAAATGACTCTCGCTTCCTTTTGGACAAGCTGTTATCTCAGTTCTCTCTACACCTGCATTCTTTGCAATTTTATTTGCAAGGTCTTTTCAGAAGAACAGCCAGTTTTTTCAAAGGCAGGTAATCAAACATTGAATATTTCTTTTTCTGGAAGAAATTCACCAAACTCACATATTCTGAGTTATAACCCAAAGCCTTTTGTTTTGGTTTTGGTTCTTTTGAGATAGGTTCTCACTCTATTACCCAGGCTAGAGTGCATCAACATGATCATGGTTCACAGCAGCCTCAATCTGCTGGGCTCAAGGGATCCTCCCATCTCAGTCTCCTGAGTAGCTGGGACAATAGATGCAGCTAATTTTTTTTTTTTTTTTTTTTTTTTTTTTTTTTTTTTTTTTTTTTTTGCAGAGGCAGGGTCTCACAATTTTGCCCAGGCTGGTCTTAAACTTGTGGGCTCAAGCAATCCTCCCATCTCAGCTTCCCAAAGTGCTGGGATTACAGGCATGAGCCACTGCACCTAGCCCCATATTTTTTAAGTAGTTGAAATAAATGGTATTATTTCAAACTTGCAGCATAAAAAACTGGTGCATCCCATATTTAGTGTGTGAGTAAACCTTCTAGAATAAACAGAAAAGAAGAGTGAGCACATTTGCAGAAGTGGTGATACCAACAATATTCATTCTATCCTAAAGTGTTACTGCATTAAGAAGCACAAAAAAGGCCTTAGCAAAATGAAATTCTGATACTCCTATCTAAATCAATTGTTACCACTTCCCTGTTCAAGTTGGAATGTGAAAATTTTGTCCCTATTAAAATGAGTCAGCTGAGTTGAGAATGTTTTTTGAGCAGAACTGAAAACAACATGCTAATAAGCTGAACATGTAAGTACTTGCATCCCAAGGATGCACTTGTATGTAATAGGAGTTGTGAAATTATTACATCTAAACCTTAAAAAGCTATTATAATAGGAAGCATTTATTTATTTATTTATTTTTAAGTACAATTTCCATTTTATTTTTCTCCAGAGAATAGTCTGTCTTCAGTCTTTAAGGACTAAGCTCCTTACATGGGCTTTGGTGGGAGTCGTGGGGCAGCACCCGCAGGTCTAAATCAAGGTGGGGGTGTTCAGTCCTTGTGGGCTTCACGAGATCAATTCCTGACTACTTTGCTGTGAATTGCACAACTCACACAGTAATGTAGCTTCACATACAGCTTGGGACGCACATAGGCATCAAAGACGCTCGCTTCAGAAATGTCCCTGACTGCTGTGGCCTCCACTATGTTTTGAATGACGAATTTCTTAATGGCCTTGTCCTTGGACACGCATCAGGCACAGTTCATGCAATGAATAGGCTGCACGTGGCCACGGACCTTTTTGGCACGACCATTGTTCCTTCTTTTCTTTGTCATCTTGGAGGGACAGACCGGAGAGAGGGGAAGCATTTATTTTAATTCATTCGTCCCATTGCAGTTCTGGTGTGCTAGTCATACAAAATACAAATATTCCAAGAAACAATCTTAAACTGATATAGAGTGCCCTTTTCAAATAAACCTGGAAAGAAATTATCTGTGGAATTCTGTAAACTTTTTCCTGCCTAAAAAAAAGAAAAATTTCAACCTTAGCCTTAATTATCCATTCCATTCCTTAACCTACTTGGCCATGGACACCTTTCTTAGAATTCTGCTGAGAAAGTACCAGCTTAACCCATCCATGATCTAATGCTTGGGTTCTTTTGCAAATACAAACTCCCACGGTGGTACAACAAAGTGAGGTTGAGTTGTTCAGATTAATTTGTTGTTTGAGGCCCAGTGCTTAGCTGGCTAAGTCAAGACAATAAAGCTAATGCACATAGCACTTAATACTCTTCTGAGTACCTTACATATATTAACTAATTTAACCTTCATAACAACTATGAAGCAGGTAATATTGCTATTCCCATTTTATAGAAGAGGATATGAGGCACAAACAGTGTAAGTACCTACTAAGTAAAATGGCAGGGCAGGATTCAAACCCAGAGAGTCTGGCTCTATAGTCCACATTTGTAACCACTATGCATGCTACCCCTCCCATGTCTGTGCATGCAATTAAAAAAAAAACTTATTAGACAGAATAAAATGTTCATTAACTTGGAGTTATTAGTAGAAAAGTCATTCTGTATAGGAGGAGATCAAATGGTTTTAGAAGAGTATATCCATTTTTAAAATTTTAATGATTTAAAATAAATTGACTTTTTTTTTTCAAATACCTCCAACAACAGGAACTAACTGCTAGCTTCTGAACTATATTCACAGAGTGAGAGCCTGTTAGGAAGACGTATTTGCATTCATTAGCTCTGTCCACACATGTTCACCTGGTGAACTTCATAAACAACTTGTTTTTTAAAGTAGGTTAATAAGTCCATGAAAGCATGTTCATAATGTCAATTTGCTTAGCAAACTCTTTATTGGAGAAAATGCTTTTGCAGTAATATCTTGAGCCTTGCCCAGGTTGAAAAAAATCAGAAATTTCATATCAGTTGAGTCCAAAGGCAGAAGCTTGATATCAAAAAACACACATCAGAGCATTTTCTTGACCAGGTTTCTTTCCTTGTTGGCATCAAAAGAATGGAGAATAGACTAAGTATTATTTTCAGATCTTAAATCAACTCTTCCTCTTATTGGCTAGGATAATTTGAGTTCTTTAAATAGATTCTACAGTTTCAACCGAAACTCTGTAAATGGTAAAATCTCAGCAAACACATGTCCTTTTCAGCCCTGCCACTGCCTGTGGTAGAAGGATGGTGTGATGGTTATTAGGTGTCAACTTGATTAGACTGAAGAATACCTAGATGGCTGGTAAAGTATTGTTGCTGGGTGTGTCTGTGAGGGTGTTATCAGCAGAGATTGACAGTCGAGTTGGTGGACTGGAAGAGGAAGACCCACCCTCAATGTGAGTGGGCACCATAAAATCAGCTGCCAGCATGGCTAGAACAAAGCAGGCAGAAGAATATGGGATAACCTTGCTGGCTGAGTCTTCTGGCTTCCTTCTGATCCTCGTGCCCTTGGATATCAGACTCCAGGTCCTTTGGTCTTTGGACTCTGGGACTTAGACTAGTGGTTTCCCGGGGGCTCTTGGGGCTTTGGCCACAGACTGAAGGCTGCACTATCAGCTTGCCTGGTTTTGAGGCTTTTGGACTTGGACTGATCCACTACTGGCTTCTCTCTTTCTCAGCTTGCAGATGGCCTATTGTGGGACTTTGCCTTGTAATCATGTGAGCCAATTTTCCCTAACAAACTCCCTTTTGTGTGTGTGTGTGTGTGTGTGTGTGTGTGTGTGTGTGTGTATATGTGTGTGTGTGTATATATATATATGTCAGTTGAGTCCAAAGGCAGGAGCTTGATATCAAAAAACACACATCAGAGCATTTTCTTGACCAGGTTTCTTTCCTTGTTGGCATCAAAAGAATGGAGAATAGACTAAGTATTATTTTCAGATCATAAATAAACTCTCCCTCCTATTGGCCAGGATAATTTGAGTTCTTTAAATAGATTCCTACAGTTTCAACCAAAACTCTGTAAATGGTAAAAGCTTAGCAAACACATGTCCTTTCCATCCATTTTAAGGATGGATTTCTTTAGTTGGTGTTGGGGTTTCTGGAGTTGGCTCTTTAATCTGATTAGACCTAAAAGTGCTAAGGACTCTACTTCTAATAGTATGGAGAACACTGATAGTTCTTGGTGTGGTTTAGAATTGTGAAAAATAAATGCATTTTATACTTCTGATTCACTGCTCCTCAGAGTCAAGGGGTTTAGTGACTCTATACACAGTAACTTTGAACATTTGCAGAGAACCAAGGAATATAATGAAATTGGTTGGTTGTTCCTAAGTTCACTGGACAAGTGCTGAAAAAAAAGGATGAGCTCAGGAATTCTATCTTCTGGCCTCAGAAGCACATATGTAGCCTCAAATCTACTGTGATTGCCCTGGGTGAGAGTCTTATCATCTGCAGACAAAGGGCTGAAATTGCTGAGAATCAGACACAAGGCCTACAGCAAAAGGTTCATGCTTAGCCTTACCAGGTGTCTACTGTTAAAATAAGGGCATTGGTAGGGAAGGAATGAGACCCTGTAACTTGGGACAGGGATGTGTGGGAGGACTTTGATGAATTTGGGGGCACTGAGCTCCTAAATTCTAATAAGCCTTTTTTTGCCAGAGGAGACGGCCTCCCCACTCACAGTGGTGGCAACATCCCCTCCCCGACCCAGGCTGCTATCAGCCTTTCTACATTTGTCTGAAGAGATTAACCCTGCATTGCTTGAGGAAACAGTGATGGTCCCCCTGAGGCAGTTGCCAGGCAAGACAATGCTGCTTCTCCTCAGGACCCAGCCCCAACACCCACTCTTTGCTTCTATGGCAGTAACTAGACTCAAGTGCCAGCAGGTCCCTAGAGGTGAAGTTCAGAGTGTGACCCATGAGGAAAGAACTACTTGAGTTTTCTAATTTATAGAAGCAGAAATCTGGAGAATACGTGTGGGAATGGACATTAAAGGTATGGGATAATGATGTGAGTACTAAGTTCTATTTTTTTTATCTTGCCCAAATTCCTATCTAAGGGGTCTGGGGAGTCATGCCCTACAAACCATAAATTCTCATCGGATGGATTTTATTTAACCCTATATACGGTAACTTACTTTCCAACCTGACTCTGGCATAACATCATGAGACAAGGAAGAAAATAAAAATATTTTACCCCAAAACATGTTTTTTTGCTATATCCTGAAATGGCCCTGCAAAGCTGTCTTTTGTGGGGGGAAATTGGCATCTATAAGAATCTCTATTAACATAACTAGATCTTTTTCTTCCAGGCCCTCCCAATCCTAAAGAGATTAACTAAAAGTCAACACCTTTCAAAGACCTGAATAGGAGAAGCATTTGTCATCTATTGTCTCTAAGGGCAGCCACTGTAAGACTTCAAAAGAACCTTGGTCTTCACAATCTTTTATCTTAACCTGAATATTTTCTTTCTATTGATCCCAGGTCTTTTTAGACAAACTCAACCAGTTGTCAACCAGAAAATGTTTAAATTTACCTAGGGCCTGGAAGCCATGCACCACCTCCCCACCCCCCAACCCTCCCACCCTCCCTCACTTTTGAGTTGTCCCACCTTTCTGGACCAACCCAATGTATTTCTTAAATGTATTTTATGTCTCATGCCTCCCTAAAATGTATAAACCAAACTGCACTCCAACCACCTTGGATACATACTCTCAGGACCTCCTGAGGCCTGTGTCATGCGCCATGGTCACTCATATTTGGCTCAGAATAAAACTCTTCAAATATTTTCCAGAATTTGACTCTTTTCATTGACAGGTGGAAGGAACGTAAAGTTGGATCAGGCTGGATTTATTAATATGGGCCCACTAAGCAGAGATTCTGCATTTAATGCTACAGCTTGGGGAGTTAGAAAAAGGTTTCTAATAGGACTGCAGTGGTGTGATCTTGGCTCACTGCAACCTCTGCCTCCCAGGTTCAAGCGATTCTCCTCCCTCAGCCTCCCAGATAGCTGGGACTACAAGCACACGCCACCATGCCCGGCTAATTTTTGTATTTTTAGTAGAGATTCACCACATTGGCCAGGCTGGTCTTGAACTCTTGACCTCGTGATCCCCCTGCCTCCACCTCCCAAAGTGCTGGGATTACAGGCATGAGTCACTGCGCCTGGCCTCAACTCTTTTATTTGGCTTATGCAGAAGACATATGGATCTGGAGAATGACAGTGGACTATCATAAGCTTAACGAAGTGGTGACTCCAATTGCAGCTGCTATACTAGATGTGGTTCATTGTTTGAGCAAATTAACACATCTCCTGGTACCTGGTAACTTTTTCTTTACTCCTGTCCATAAGGCCCACCAGAGGCAATTTGCCTCTTACTCCTGTCCATAAGGCCTACCAGAGGCAATTTGCCTTCAGCCAGCAAGGCCAGCAATGTCTTGCTCACAGAGATTTTGATCACTTTTCCCTTCCACAAGATATCACACTAGTTCATTGCATCAGTGACACTATGCTAATTGGACCCAGTGAGTGAGAAGTAGCAAGCACTCGGGACTTATTGGTGAAACACTTTCATGTCAGGGTATGGGAAATAAATCCAACTAAAATTCATGGACCTTCTATATCAGTGAAATTTCTAGGGGTCCACTGGTGAGGGGCCTGTTGAAATATTCCTTCTAAGGTGAAGGATACATTGTTGCATTTGTCCCCTCCTACAACCAAGAAAGAGGTACAAGGCCTAGTGGGCATATTTGGATTTTGGAGGCAACACATTCCTCATTTGGGTGGGTTACTCTGGCCTATTTATTGAGCGACCCAAAAGGCTGCTAGTTTTGAGTGGGGCCCAGAGCAAATGAAGGCTCTGCAAGAGGTCTAGGCTGCTGTGCAAGCTGCTCTGCCACTTGGGCCATATGACCGAGCAGACCCAATGGTGCTTGAGGTGTCAGTGGCAGATAGGGATACTGTTTGGAGCCTTTGTCAGGGCCCCATAGGTGAATCACAGTAGAGGCCTCTAGGATTTTGGAGCAAGGCCCTACCATCTTCTGAAGATAACTACTTTCCTTTTGAGAGACAGCTTTTGGCCTGTTACTGGGCCTTGGTGGAAACTGAACCTTTGACTACAAGTCACCAAGCTACTCCACGACCTGAACTTCCTATCATGAACTGGGTGCTTTCTGACCCATCTAGCCATAAAGTTGGGTATGGACAACAGCATTTTGTCATTCAATGGAAGTGGTATATACATGATTGGGCTTGAGCAGGTCCTGAAGGCACAAGAGAGTTACATGAGGAAGTGGGTCAAATGCCCGTGGTCCCCACTCCTACCACCCTGCCTTCTCTCTCCCAGGCTGCACCCATGGCTTCATGGGGATTTCCCTATGATCAGTTGACAGAGGAAGACAAGACTAGGGCCTGGTTTACAGATGGTACTGCACAGTATGCAGACACCACCTGAATGTGGACAGCTGTAGCACTACAGCCCCTTTCTAGGACATGCCTGAAGGACAGAGGTGAAGGGAAATCTTCCTAGTGGGCAGGACTTTGAGCAGTGCACCTGGTCGTGCACTTTCCTTGGAAGGAGAAATGGCCAGATGTGGGATTATATACTGATTAGTGGGCTGTAGCCAATGGTTAGGCTGGATGGTCAGGGACTTGAAAGGAGCATAACTGGAAAATTGGTGACAAATGAATCTTGGGAAGAGGTATGTGTGTGGACCTCTCTGAGGGGTCAAAAGCCGTGAAGATATTTGTGTCCCACATGAATGCTCACCAAAGGATGACCTCAGCAGAGGAGCATTTGAATAATCAAGTAGATAGGATGACCCATTTTGTGGACACCACTCAGCCTCTTTCCCCAGCCAACCCTGTCATTGCCCAATGGGCTCATGAACAAAATGGCCATGGTGGCAATGGATGGAGGTTATGCATGGGCTCAGCAACATGAACTTCCACTTACCAAAGCTGACCTGGCTACAGCCACCACCGATTGCCCAATCTGCCAGCAGCAGAGACCAACACTGAGCCCTCAGTACGGCATCATTCTTTGGGGTGATCAGCCAGCTACCTGGTGGCAGGTTGATTACATTGGACCTCTTACACCATGGACAGGGCAGCAGTTTGTTCTTACTGGAATAAACATTTACTCTGGATATGGATTTCCCTCTCCTGCATGCAATGCTTCTGCCAAGATTACCATCCATGGACTCACAGAATGCCTTATCCACCATCATTGTATTCCACATACAATTGCCTCTGAAAAAGGAACTCACTTCACAGCTGAAGAAATGTGGCAGTATGCTCATGCTCATGGCATTCACTGGTCTTACTATATTCCCCATCATCCTGAAGCAGATGGCTTGATAGAATGGGAAGAATGGCCTTTTGAAGTCACAATCACAGCACCAACTAGGTGACAATACTTTGCAGGCCTGGGACAAAGTTCTGCAGAAGACGGTGGGTGCTCTGAATCAGCATTCAATGTATGAAACTGCTTCTCCCATAGCCTGTCTAGGAATCAAGGGGTAGAAGTGAAAGTGGCACCACTCACCGTCACCCCTAGTGACTCATTAGCAAAACGTTTGCTTCCTGTTCCTGCAACGTTACATTCTGCTGTCAATTAAGGCCTAGAGGTCTTAGTTCCAGAGGGAAGAATGTTGCCACCAGAAGACACAATGATTCAATTGAACTGGAAGTTAAGACTATCACCTTGCCACTTTGGGCTCCTCCTGCCTCTAAGTCAACAGGCTAAGAGGAGTTACAGTGTTGACTGGGGTGATTGACCCGAACTATCAAGATAAAATCAGTCTACTACTACACAATGGAGGTCAAGAAGAGCATGTCTGGAATACAGGAGATTCCTTAGGCCATCTCTTAGTATTACCATGCCCTGTGATTAAGATCAATGGGAAACTATAAAAATGCAATCCAGGCATGACTACAAATAACCCAGGCCCTTCAAGGATGAAGATTTAGTTCACTCCACCAGGTAAAAAATCACCAGCTAAGGGGCTTGCTGAAGGCAAAGGGAATATAGAATGTGTAGTAGAAGAAGGTAGTTATCAATATGAGCTATGACCACTTGCAGAAATGAGGACTGTAATTCCTGTTTATTTTGTTAAGAATATGTTTGTGCATGTTTACACCCATATTGAAGAAATATCTTCATTTACTTGCTTTTACCTTTATCATGTAACATAAGATTTATTGACTTCATAGCAGTATTTAAGTGCTAACTTTATGTAATAGCATTTAGGTTAAAGATTAGTGTGCTTTCGGTTGTATGAAGAATAGTTGTGTTCTGGTAGGTGTAATTATGACCTTCTTATTGTCTTTATTTGGAGATTAAGTATGATTTCAGGAGATGTATATGGGTGCCCAATTGACAAGGTGTGGACTTGTGAAATTAATGTTAGATGTCAACTTGATTGGATTCAAGGATGCCTAGATGGCTGGTAAAGTATTATTTCGGGTGTGTCTGTGAGGGGTGTTGCCAGAGGAGATCGACATTTGTGTCAGTGGACTGAGAGGAAGACCCACCCTCAATGTGGGGGGCACCATACAATCAGCTGCCAGTGTGACTAGAACAAAGCAGGCAGAAGAAGGTGGAATAACCTTGCTGGCTGAGTCTTCTTTCTTTTCTTCCTCCTGCCCTTGGACATCAGACTCCAGGTTCTTTGGCCTTTGGACTCTAGGACTTGCATCAGTGCCTTGCTGGGGGCTCTTGGGCCTTTGACCACAGATTGAAGCCTGTATTATCTGCTTCCCTGGTGTTGAGGCATTCAGACTTGGACTGACCTACTACCAGCTTCTCTCTTCCCTGGCTTGCAGATGGCTTGTCATAGGACTTCACCTTGTAATCATGTGAGCCAATCCTCCCTATTACACTCCTTTTCATATATACATATATCTTATTAGTTCTGTCCCTTTGGAGAACCCTGACTAATACAGATAGTGACCTGGTCACTTCCTTTTTTAAATCCCATAGTAAGAAGAACTTAACATTCCTGGCACTTTTCTCACTGACATGAAGAGAGAGTCTGATGAGGTGGGGACTTGCTGAGCCTGAGTTTCACGTAACCTTGTTGAGTCAGGTTTGTAATGCGGTCTTGGTTGTGCCATGAAACAGAAGCAAAGCTCAGAACAATCTTCTATTTCTTTCTCTTTAACAGCTCTGAGATGTAATTCACATAGCATAAAATGCACCCAATTAAAGTGTGCCATTCAATGAATTTTAGTATATTCACAGAGTTGTGCATCTATCATCAAAATCAAATTTATAATATTTTCATTACCCCCTAAACTTCCTGCACTCCTTGACCATCACTCCACAATTTTCCCAACCCCCACCCCCAACCCAAGAGTCTGGCAATCACTAATCTACTGTCTCTTTATAGATTTGCCTGGTATGGATATTTCATAGACATGCAGTCATAGAGTATATGGCATTTTGTGTCTGGCTTCTTTCACTTAGCGTAGTATTTTAAGGTTCATCCATGTTGTACCATGTATCAGTATTTCTTTTATGAAATATTTTATAAATATTCCATCATATGGATATACCACATTTTATTTATTCATTATCAATGAACATTTGGTTGTTTTCACCTTATGGCTATTGTGACTAGTGCTGCTGTGAACACACACATGCAAGTTTTTGTGTAGATATGTGTTTCCATTTCTCTTGGGCATACACTGAGGAGTGGAATTGCTAGGTTATACGTCAACCTGTTGTTTAGCCATTTGAGGAACTGCCAGACTGTTTCCCAAAGTGACTGCACCGTTTTAGAATCTCATCAGTGATGTGTTAGGGTTCCAATTTATCCACATCCTCCCCCACACTTGTTACTGTCTGTCTTTTTTATTATAGTCATCCTAGTGAGTGTGAAGTGCTGTCTCATGGTTTTGCATTTCATTTCCCTGATGGCTAATGATATTGAACATTTTTCATGTGTTTATTGGCCAATTTGTGTAACTTCTTTGGATAATTTTCTATCCATTTCTCAGTTCTTATCTGCCTCAGTTTCTCCTCTCAGGGAGAAAGCTATCCCAACACAACACTTCATCACTGGCTTCATTCACCTTGTTATAATTTACAACCTCCAGCAAATTATTAAAATAGATTTATAAAGCACCTGAATCAGCCAGTGATTACTTGTGTTTAATAGAGATTACTTGATTTTAATAGAGAGCTCAAGACTTCAATAAAGACTCAGAGAGCTGAAGTCCATTGCAAATGGACTTGTCTTTGGTTAATAGACTTACTTTATCCAAAGGAACCATTTAACTTTCAAGGCATTATTCCCAGGTCTATAACTCAGGATAAGGTCTAGCCACAGAATATCAGAGGAAGGATTCAGAATAGAAAGATTAATGAAATAGAATGGTCACATAGTATGGCTCAGAGCCTTTCAATACCCAAAAAGGGTAACCAACTATCAGGGGTTGCCTGGGACTGTCCTGGTTTTAAAATCAAAAGTCCTGGAAAATATCTCAGTCCTGAGCAAGCCAGTCAGTCGGTCACTCCAGAGCCATATTCATTCTCCAACTTATGTAGGCAATAGAGTTACAACTGAGTGTTAAAAGAAAAACCTAAGACAAATTAAACAGAGTTTAACTGAGCAAAGAATGATTCACAAATCTGGCAACTCCTGAACCTGAATAGGTTCAGAGAGTCTCCGGAGCAGCCACATGGTTGAAAATTGATGGACAGAAAAAGGAAAGTGACAGACAGAAAATGAAAATGAGGTACAAAACTGGCTGGATCAGTTACAGCTTGGCAATTGCCTTATCTGAATGCGGTTTGAAGAGTTGGCCGCCTTTGATAGGCCAAAACTCAGTGATCAACACAAGAGTAGTTTACAGTCTGTTTACAAATCCAGTGACACGGTTTGGCTGTATTCCCACCCAAATCTCATCTTGAATTGTAGTTCCCATAATCCCCACATGTCATGGGAGGGAGCTGGTGGAAGGTAATTGAATCATGGAGGCATTCATGCTGTTCTCATGATAGTGAATAAGTCTCATGAAATCTGATGGTTTTATAAAGGGCAGCTCCCCTGCACACACTCTCTTGCCTGCCGCCATGTAAGATGTGCTTTTGCTCCTCCTTCACCTTCTGCCATGATTGTGAGGTCTCCCCAGCTGTGCAGGACTGTGAGTCCATTAAACCTCTTTTTCTTTATAAATTACCCAGTCTAATTTTTTTTTTTTTTTTGAGACGGAGTCTCACTCAAGTTGCCCAGGCTGGAGTGCAGTGGCGTGATCTCAGCTCACTGCAAGCTCTGCCTCCTGGGTTCACGCCATTCTCCTGCCTCAGCCTCCTGAGTAGCTGGGACTACAGGTGCCTGCCACCACACCTGGCTATTTTTGTTTTGTATTTTTAGTAGAGACGGGGTTTCACCATGTTAGCCAGGATGGTCTCGATCTCCTGACCTTGAGATCCACCCACCTCCACCTCCCAAAGTGCTGGGATTACATCAGTCATTTCTTCATAGCAGTATGAAAATGGACTAATACATCCAGTTAGGTTACAGTTTATTCAGTATGAAGATACCATAAGTTAGGTCAAACTTAAAATATGTAAGTAGGCGCTTTGGATTAAATTTAATTTAGCAATTCCCCAGTTTTGAGAGATTGACCAAAACTGTAGGCATTGATGTTACTCTACTACCATGCTAAATATCCTTATGCTGTCTTAAATCCCATTGAGAAATAGCAAAACAGTGGGTTTTGCAAGGTGGGAATAAAGGCATCTTGTTTTTGTTTTTTAATACACATGGAGTTTTGCCATTTGCCCAGGCTGGTCTTGAACTCCTGAGCTCAAGAGATCCACCCACCTTGGCCTCCCAAAGTGCTAAGATGACAGGTGTGAGCCACCATGCCCAGCCTATGTTTGTAAGGGTTACAGTAGAGGGGACCTTCTTGTGCTGCAATCTCCTGTTTACAGGAGAAAAACGAAACTTGGCCTGTTTTAGGACCTACCTGCTTCATTAAAATTTCAATTTGATTATGTCGCATTTAGCATGAGTGACTCCATTTTGGTTTGGTTTGGTCTGGTCTGTTGTGGCCTACTACCTGAGCTCAATCCAAAATAATGGTCTCCCATCATTTTGTTTAAAAATTCTCCCCTTTTGGTTAGGTTCTCATTTAGGTGAGAGTATAACCAAAACTTACAGCCTTAGCACCACTCTCAGTTATCATCATTTTGGGTTTCCACTCTCAGCATATCATTCTTAGGTTACGTTACCCCATGTTCATATTTCTTTTAGTTTTTATCATTCCAGTTGAAGAAAGACCATTTGACATTTTATGGATGGCTGCTTGCAAATATTTAAAACTTTTGAGGGAATACAACAAACCAGGGAGACTCTTATTACAACTATCAGGAGGGTAATACCAAAAGTTTGAAGTATGCTCCTTAGCCGGGGTTCCCATGAACCAAACCAACTAAAATCAAATAGACCAAAGAATGAGCTAGATAAAAAGTCTATTCATTCCAACCAAGCAGCCTGTTCATTAATTCCCTACAGTCAAGTCTCTATAACGTCCAGTGTATTTCCCCATGGGCAACTAGATGTATCAGCAACTGCACAGATACTTCTGTTTAGCCAGTAGATGATCTAGAGCAATTCTATTAATTAGCACAACATACACAAGAGAGTTTAAAGTCTGTTGTGTAACCATAGCCTTTGCAGTAGAATCTGCTGTACAGATCTACAGACTATTATGAGGTATACATTTCTTTCTTTTTTTTTTTTTTTGAGACGAAGTCTTGCTCTGTCGCCCAGGCTGGAGTGCAGTGGCGCAATCTCAGACCACTGCAACCTCTGCCTCCCAGGTTCAAGCGATTCTCCTGCCTCAGCCTTCTATAGGCACACGCCACCACGCCCAGCTAATTTTTTTTGTCTTTTTAGTAGAGACGGGGTTTCATCATGTTGCCCAGGCTGGTCTCAAACTCCTGACCTCAAGTGATCTGCCAGCCTCGGCCTCCCAAAGTGCTGGCATTACAAGCGTGAGCCACCGCGCCCAGCCGAGGGATACATTTCTAATCATTGCCTCATTTACTTTAAACCATGGAAAAACAGACCTAATAAATGATGCCCATCCAAAAGAATGAAGGCCTCTGGCAATGTTCTCTTTAACCTATGATGTAGGTTAAGAGGTGTGGACAAATGTTCTGGTTTTGATAGATAATGAAGCAACAAAGTTACCATTAAAATTTCTCACTTACATTGGCCCTTCCTCTTCCGTCTGTCAAGGCAGAAGATTGTTTATTGATAAGGCTGGCTGTGACATCCTCCAAAAATAAATGTATACCTCATGAGTGCACACAAGAGGCCCCTTTTTCAGTTCTATTGTTCACAGAGACATAGGCAAGGAAAAAATTTAGAGATGAGAATCTCATGATAGCAGAGAAGCCTTAAAACATGCTCTTGGGAAAAAGCTGTGTATGTCAAAGATGCTGTCTGTTTCTGGGGAGAAACTTCCCTGGTTAGCTTTATCTTAGGTACCCAATGGCTATATAGTTCCAAGAGTCTGGAGGGGAGCTTCTGAGTTGTGAACTCAAGGTTCAAGATCCTCAAGTTTTGCCGCAGTGCGGGTGGCAAAGGTAGTTTTTCTTTGATGTTGTTCTTAGAAGACCCAGTCTCCAGGTTCTATTATAGATTGTGAAGGGTTTGATCGTCCTTAGTCAGTGGACCATGAAAAACCTCTTCACCTGGTGAAAATACACTTTGGCACAATGCATTAAAAGTCTTGCCGCATTTAGTCATATCAGAGTTTAGTGATAAAAGATAATGAGCTTCTATTATTAAGTGCATAAGCCTTCCAGTGATTATTGCATAAGGGGTCAACTTATGTTTTCCGCTTTAAATGGATCTGACTGTCATCATTCTGCAATACCTCTGACCAAGGCAATTCAATATTCAGTTAGTTTTATTTATTGCTATTGTATCTGTAATACCATATTTAACTATTACAACTTGTTCAGTGAAACAAGTACCTCTATCACTAGAGATTTCTCCAGAAATGTCCCATTAGAGAAAAACAATTTCTAATAACCTTTTAGCTGCTGTAATAACATCAATCTTCTTGCATGGGAAACCTTCTATACAACCAGAAAACATGCATTGAAAATAACAATTGCATGAAATCCCTCTATAAATGTTTAAACAGGCCATCAGGTATCAGAAATGTACCTGAAGTTTTGATCATCTTTGCAGGATTTTGGGTTTGACAAAGCAAACATTGGTCATAAATTATTTCAGCAGTTTAGAATAGTCAGTGTGTGTGTGTGTGTGTGTGTGTGTGTGTTTAATTTATATTTTTATTTCTTCCATTATAAGTCATGGAATGCAAAGCTTTTAATATTGGAAGCTTTAAGGACCAAGAAGGTCTAGTTTGCCATCCAGGCTCTCCATAAGTCCATGCTTAACATTGAACTTATACCCTCTTGAATATCAATTTCGTTTCTTCAATTTAGGAGCATAGCACTGTTTATTAGATGAGTTATCATTTGACTTGGAGCATGAAATTCATTCAAATTGCATATTTAAACAATTTCAATACTGACTGATTTAGCTTGAAAATCTGGCAAAGTATTTTCTTGGTATCCAATTAATTTTTATCCTGCTTAGGTTAGCAATTTTATAAACCAGTCGGTTTCTTCATTAGAATTCTGGGAATTCTTACCAAGTCCAAATGTTATTATCCTAAAGCTATCAGAAGCCTTATTCAAGAGTGCTTGTCAGGGTTCTTTTTATCGTTTTCATGAAACTCCTTGAAGACACAATGCTCTAGGATTTTGCTTGCTTGTGAAGTTTCCAGAAACTGTATCAGAAGTAAGCAATTAACTGTGGAAATGACTTAAAATGATCACAGTTAAAGAGTACAATTGAGAAGGAAATTTGGTTATTTTGTGACCTACAAAAATTTAATATAACCATAATTATGGCTGATAGCATACAGACATATCAGAATTTTAGGAATTCCATACAATTTTAGAACATATATTAATAACATTTATAAAAATATAACTTGAAGAAGGTTAAACAGTATTTCTTATTTGACAATGCTTTCCATGTAATTTAACATATCAATACTGTTTATCTCTCTTTTGTATGCTTCAGAGGCCCTCTTTAGCACCCTGAAGTTAGAGGTCAAAAACAACAACAAAAAAGACAAATTTTGAAGTTGAAATGTGATTTCAGGAAGCTTGTCAAATATGCCAAAGGTTTAAAACACTTGGCCAAATAGAATCACAGGTCATTGTAAAATAATAGTCATTTATATAGCCAATGTGATAATGAAAAAGTTTTTAAAAGCACAAATCTTTATTCTCTGATAGTAAGAAGACACAGTTACCCAAGCAATCAAAAGACCTGAGAAAGACAATATGAGAAAAAAAAAATCTGTCTCCCCTTGTCTCCTTTTCTTTGTTTTTTTTTTTTTGCAGTTTACTCAAAAGGTGAACAAAAATATTTTACTGTCTTTTTTTTTTTTCTTTCTTTTTTTGAGATGGAGTCTCACTCTGTCACTCAGGTTGGAGTGTAGTGGCATGATCTCGACTCACTGCAACCTACATCTCCTGGGTTCAAGGGATTCTCCTGCCTCAGCCTCGCTAGTAGCTGGGATTACCACCATGCCTGTCTAATTTTCATATTTTTAGTAGAGATGAGATTTCACCATGTTGGTTAGGCTGGTCTTGAACTCCTGACCTCAGGTGATCCACCTGCCTTGGTCTCCCAAAGAGCTGGGATTAAAGACATCAACCACCACACCCAGCCACTTTTACTTGTCTTATTAATACTACATGAAATTTTTTTTTCAAAAGATAAAACAAAATTTTACTTTTGTATTAGTGTATTTATTGATATCAAAGCTAATTTTAATAAAAACTTATAAACAAACCTCGGTTGGCTTTTGACCACACCAGATTTCCATAAACTTTTCGTAATCTCTCGTACATTTATACAATTCTTTTTCATTTCAACTTTCTATATGAGTTTCATCTACATCTTTTTTATTCCTTCTACTTGAAAGAACCTTTAAGTAACTTCAAACTAGACAAAAAAAAGTCTTTTTAACAAACACACACTTTATAGCTTTCCTCACTAAAAGCACATCTTGCTTGTTTATACACTTTATACAGAATTGTTTGTCTTACATCTAGTAGTTTTAATTACATATATTAACTGTAATTTAAACTCTTAGTAACCTAAGTTCTAGTGAAAACCCTAGCAAATAATTTTGAACTGTTTTGTATCAGTATTTATAGATGAAAACTATTTTATAATTTTTTAGAAATATGCATCCTTAAATTATTGTTCATTAAGTATATTTAGCTTTTCTATATCATATAAAAATAAGATGTCAAAGTATATAAACTTAAACTTATGTTTATTATTGTTTTAGTATTTTAGCTTACAAATGACTTAGAGATTTTATGATTATCTATTATTTAATCAAACATAACATGAATTTAATATTTTAAATTACTGGCTGTGCACGGTAGCTCACGCTTGTAATCCCAACACTTTGGGAGGCCAAGGCAGGAGGATTGCTTGAGTTCAACAGTTTGAGAGTAGCCTGGGCAACATAGCAAAATTTTTTTTTAAAAATTAGCTGGGTGTGGTGGTGTGTACCTTTAGTCCCAGCTGACTTGAGGATCACTTGGGCCTAGGAATTTGAGGCTGGAGTGAGCTATGATTACGCCACTGCACTCCAGCCTGAGTGGCAGAGTGAGACTCTGTCTCAAACAAAAAGATTCTAAATTACTGAAAAGAATTTTGAAACTATGACACAGGAACCCTCTTCTAATGTTTTCCACAGTCATCCTGGGTCCCAAGTAGCCAAGTGGCACCCAGGAAGGCTGTGAAGGGCAGGGCCTGAGTCCTGAATTTACATACTAGTTGTAGAGCTAAGGACAGAAGACAGAGCTGTGAAGGAGAGGCCTGGAAGATGGAACCCCTCCCAGAATAGCCAGGAGGCAAAGCTGAGGCAGGTTAAGAAGGGGCCATATTGGGCCTGATTCTGCTTGGTAGCTGCTGGTCTGGGCACTGAGAACATGTCCCTAGGCCTTACCATGGCCACTTATTCAGACCCCCAACTCCAGAGGCTCAAAACCAAAAACATAAGTTCACAGTCTGTCAAATCAAGCAAGTGTCTAATTATTTTCAACTGGCAATTTTGAATCCATTCCTATTTTATCAACAATTTTCAAACTGGCTTTATTTACCAAATACTATCACATACACATAACACATATAGATATACAGACACACAGACAGAAGCAGATTTTATACCCTTCACAAAGATTCTCATTTGCTAGCTTCGAAATAGTTTTTCTTTTCCTCATTCACACTATCCATCTTCCAATTATGTGTTTCATTGCCCTAAGTAATTGTTAGCTAGGCAACCCTAAACTTGCATTTCTAAAGGGACAACTCAGGTGAAACAAGGTAGAAAGTTTATATCTCAAAAGCACAGAAATAAGATTTGAGACCTAAATACTGTACCATCATTCACTCTAGCCAAGGAAAAAATAGTGTAAGTAAAAGTTTACTTAAAACAGGCTGTCCAGAAAAGTGCCTTAAACAAAGGTATGAGTTGTTATGTAAATTTAAAACAATTGTAAGTTTCTTATGTATACAGCAGACACCCTTACAAATGCAGATTTCCTATATAGATGTAAATTTCTTTTTAAAAAAGGTTTCAAAATAGCCAGTTAAATGCCAGAAAGGTGTATTTTCGTTCTAGGAGTGGTGTTTTTTTTGTTGTTGTAGTTGTTTTTTTTTGTTTTTTTTTTTTTAACTTAGCTACTGTTTCTTAGCTAAAATTACTGAGTTCAGAGCGGAGTCTGTTAAGGAATAAAGCAAAGAAAGCATTCTCTATGCCTGGACTCAGCATGGATAGATCTGAAAAGGAAGCAAGTCTATTTCATCTCTAACAAGTCTACCAAAATGTTTTATAAACATTTTACCCAGGATAGCTTTCTTTTTGCCTTCAGGGTAGGATAGTAACCAAGCCAAACATTTAGCAGATTTAATTCTTCTTATCAATTAAACGGTTAAGCTTTTTATTTGCCTTTTATAAAGAGTATTTTCTTTGAAAGCAATAAAAACATTGAAATCTTTTTAGAAGCTTCACATTAATAGGCATCATTGGATGACTCTAATTCGGGAGCCCTCATTTTCAAATTCAATTTTTTGTTTTTTAACAGCTCTTTGTGGCCATCATCAAATGTATTTCTTAAAGTGCAGTGTTGTCCATCTGGAATGTTCCATTGTAATGTTAAATTATCTTTGGTAAGATTTTGCCATTTCTATAGCATTTACTGCTTCTGGGACCTAATATTCATACATGTAAATGTAGGCATAGTTGGAAGGTAGATTCCTTAATTTCTGAATTTCTGAAGAAATTAAGGATCTCATTTTTACCTTGAATCTTGGCTTTGGTTCTCATATTCTCTTAATCAACTTAGTCAATGATTTCTCCCTACTTAAAGTGTGCAAGAAAAAGAAAGGGGGTAGAACA
This sequence comes from Homo sapiens, assembly GCF_000001405.40. Lineage (NCBI taxonomy): Eukaryota > Metazoa > Chordata > Mammalia > Primates > Hominidae > Homo > Homo sapiens. The sequence goes on along the minus strand of NC_000010.11, from coordinate 87,624,952 downwards.
CAAAAATATCTGCAAATTTCCAAAAGCTAAAGTTTGCACCCCTGCAGTTTTGCCATCTACTGCCAGTTTCTGCCTGACCCCCTCAGGCATCCGAGGCCTCTAACTGGATCCAAGTCAGTTAATTATTGGATCCAGTTCAGTGCCTGACCCAGACCAGCTTTTGTCATGACTTCTGAATCTAGTTCAGATAAAAAATGTGCTCAACCTCAGATAGCTCAAAACACAAATCCGTGGAGCTCTGGAATCCAAGAGAGAACTTATGATCCCCGGTTGCCGTGATTTAGCAATGGACACAATGGGGCTCGGCAGGTCCCTGCTTGGTCCCTTGGTGCTCCTGGGAGACACTGGAATCTCTACTTCAAATTCTACTTTTGACACCATCTAAATTTAGACAAACTAAATTTAACAAAGTTTAATTAAGCAAAGAGTGATTTGTGAATTGGGCAGCCCCCAAAACAAAACAGGTTCAGAGGATCTCCAGCAGCAGCCATATGGTTGAAGATTTATGGACAGAAAAAGGAAAGTGACATATAGAAAATGGAAGTGAGGTACAGAAACAGCTGGATTGGCTACAACTTGGCATTTGCCTATTTGAACACAGTTTGAACACTTGGCTGCCTTTGATTGGTCAAAACTCAGGGACTGGCACAAGAGTAGGTTACAGTATGTTCACACATCCAGTTAGATTGCAATTCATTATGCACAAGAAAACTTTAGGCTGAACTTAAAAATGAAAATTAAGTTTAGCTTTAGGCTAAACAGTCATTGTTCTGGAAGTCAGCCTAGGCCTTCCCCTGAGCCTCTCATTTGATGCACAAATCCCAATTGTCACGCCAGACGTCTTTATTTTTGTTTACTCTTAAAATCTTATTTTGTCTTACTCTTACTTTACTTTGGTAAGTTCCTCAGTGATGTCTTTTTTTTTTTTTTTTTTTTTGAGATGGAGTCTTGCTCTGTTGCCCAGGCTGGAGTGCTCAACTCAACGACTTAAATATCCATCAGTAGAGGAGTGGTTAGGAAAATTATAGTATATCCTTATATTAGAATTCTATGCAGTCATTAAAAAGAACAAGGTAGAGCTGTTTGTTCTAATATGGAACACTCTCTGAGATATAATGTTCAGTAGAACAAATGCATAACAGGTGCATTGCTCTTACCATTTATGTAAAAAGAAAAAGGAGCTATGGCGATAAGTACATGTTATATTTGCAAATTTTAAATATGCTTATGTTTGCATTGTATATCTCTGGAAAGATACATAAAAAATGATTGGCAGTAGTTGCCTCCATGAAAGGGGATCAAGGATAGAAGAAAGACTTATTGTTCATTATATACTCTTATGTACTATTTAATTTTTTTACATATGCTTGTATTAAATCTTTAAAAATCATAATATAGAAATTTAATCACTAGGAAAAATCCTGCATTAAAGTGGAGTGTTGAATACTAGAATCCCTACTGCTCTTTGCTTTGCTTCTCTGGCAAGAGAGTTTTACAATTATGAAGTAAAATAACCTGTATTTGAGTTGGACTATTTCCCACATACTATAAAGAGAAATATTTCAACAGTCTTTCAAAGACAAAGCATAAATCAGTTAATGACAGTGCCTGGATTGGAACTGAGAGTTACAATGGTCATGTTCGTGTATATTAATCCAACAGAAATTCTTACTTGACTCTAAGAAAATGAATGTGTATAAAGGCTGAAGAGGCAAATGGCTTTATAAAAATGACTTTATAAAAATAACCTCAAATTTTTGTAAGTAGCTGAGATTAAGCCAAGTATTTGAAAAACTAGGAGCCAGAATTTATAATCATAGAAATCATAAGTCAGGCTGTACCTGGGTAATCAGAATCGAGTGAGATTTAAGTTTCTCTATGGGATGGGGGTAGTGACAGTTTGCATTGACCCTTCACTCATTCTACAAGCTTCACTGAGGCCCTACCCAGTTGATGCCCAGCGTGGTTCAAGGGGCTGGGGGCACAAGTGGAGATTTCACTGTTATTTTCTCGCCCAGAATTCGTTTCCCCCTTTTCTGGTGACAGCATCTTGATTGTCCTTTGGGAAACCACCAGTCCTACTCTTGGTGCATGTGGCTGTTTTAGGAGAGACCAGCCTTGCATCCCTCCCCGCATGACTCCTACCAGCCACAGGAGGCGTATCTGGCATATGCTAAGCCCCTGGCCACTGTGCTGTGCATGGAACACAAAGAAAAGCAATCCTGGGACTTCTGTGGAACTACTGAGAAGATTAATCTCTCTCCCCCAGTGGAGACAGAAGTTGTAAGAATTTGAGCTTGAGGCTGCCAGCAGCCTGACAGAGGCCAACAGAAACCAACATAGAGCTGAGAGAGACAGACTCTGGGTAGAATCATTTGGACACTAGATCCAGCTACATCTGAAATAGATCTATTTCTGGACTTGGTAGTTCCAAGAATGAATAGTAATTTCCTTTTTGTCACTCGAAACCAGATGCTCGTGTCAAAGAGAAGAGCTACAAGACTGTTTCTGCCCCCAAGGTGCTCCAGTCCATTGGAGAAGCAAACACATAACTGAGAATGACTCACCTTGTGATGGCTGCTATGATGAGGTTCATACCTGGTGCTACAGGACACAGAGAGGCATAATAATGTGGTAAGACATTAGAGTTGTAGAGGATCTTTGAGTTTATCTGCAGTAATCACCCTATTCGAAAGGAGACTCTGAAGCCTAGATTTACCCAAGAGATGGAACGTAACTAACAATGGTTCTGAACTGCACTCTACCCCTCTTGCATTAAAGTAATTAAATGGCATCTTTTCCTGATTACCAACAATTTTTTTCAATATTCATTTATTTGATATTCATTTCTATGTATTCATTGAAGAAAATTTATAAAATATTTTAAAAGCCAAAGAATGAAATAAAAATACCCACACAAGTTTGGTCAATATCCTTAGACTCTTCCTTCGTGAATTCTTTATTAATTTTCTTTTTTTAAAAAAAATAGAATCAGTCTGGGCATGATAACTCACATTTGTAATCTCAGCACTTTGGGAGGCCAAGGCAGAAAGATTGTTTGGGCCCAGAAGTTTGAGACCAGCCTAGGCAACATGGCAAAACTCTGTCTCTACGAAAAAAAAAAAAAAAAAAAAAAAAAATTGCTGGGCATTGTGGTATATGCCTGTAGTCCCAGCTACTTGGGAGGCTGAGGTGGGAGAACTGATTGAGCCCAGGAGGTTGAGGCTGCAGTGAACTGTGGTCATGCCACTGCACTCCAGCCTGAGCAACAGAGCAAGACTCTGTCTCTAAATAAATAAATAAATAAATAAATAAATAAATAAATAAATAAAATAGAATCACTTTGTTTTGTAATCTGCTTCCTAAATTTAACACCATTGTTATAGGCTGCTTCCAAGTTTTAAAATTCTTATTCAGAGATGAATGTTTTTACAGACAAATCTTTGTGTCCATCCTATTTCCCTTGGACAAATTCTCATCAATGGAATTGCTAGATCAAGGAGTTCACATTTTGAGACAAAAGATCACTTTGCAATTTTAGGCCACATAGGTCAAGATTTTACAGCACACACTTAACCTTTACTAGAAGGGGCAAAAAACTCAAGTTAGCTGCATACAAGAAGTAACATGCATTATAATTGTAGGGGCTACCTTCCTAATGCAGACAGGAGAGGGAATAATTTCACTGAGCCAGAAAGCCTATCTCCTGAGAGAGGAAGCAAGGCATGAATACACAACTTGTACATCTGTAACATATCATAAAATCTAAAGAGTAAGGTATTAAGAAGAAAAGTTATAAACACCAAGAGAACTCTGTGCCTTCACTCGCTCTTACTTTAAATCCATCCATTACACTGCCTGTCCCCAGAGCCACTGACCCCAAGCATGAATCAAGCCATGCACATCCTTGCCCAAACCCTTACATCGCTCTCTGCCTTCTCCCCACAATTCTTTAAGGAGACAGCCAAGTCTCTTAGCATATGACTCACAAGCTGTATTTTGAACCCTATCTCCTCTCCATTTACCTGTCCCAATGCACCCAGTGTTGCGGACATGGCCACTGTTCACCAAGGGGACCCTGCACGAGATCCACTCTACCTTGATCCACACTGTTTCCATTTTCTACAATGATATTCTCCCCCATCTCTACCTGTTGAAATTCTGCTATTCTTCAAGGCGTTCATCTGGTTTTGAATGACAATTACTAAATTGACTTAAGCAAAAAAGGAAATAACTATTTGTTCTTGGAACTGCAAATTCCAGAGGGGCTTTGGGCACCTCATGGTCCACTATAACATAAGCCAAGGGAAGGAGAAATTTGCTGGGATAAGCTTGGTAAGTTTGCAGAGGCGGTGGCATTGTACACAGCAGGCTCCTTGAGAGCAGGGATGGATCTCACCGAGCTTCCTCTGATCAACCAGCTCTGTGCCTCGCGCAAACACATCGCCAAATAAATGCTTGTGGAATTGTATTTTTCAGGAATTAAACACAGGTGAAATGACACAAAATTTACTAATCCAGCAAGATTGCATTTAATTGAATTATTCTCCATTACGTTATTATATTGGCCATTCTGTTTTTGATCCCAACCTTCCTAAACAGTCAAAGACTCATTCTGGTGGCTTAAAATTTTTTAAAAAGAAGCTCATTCTTAGTGGGTGGGGTGTTGTTTGCAATGAACTTCAGCTTGAAATACAGCCTTTCAGCATTTACTGGCAGTGTGAAATTCCATGTTATGGTTAGAGAGTCTGGAAACTGATTTGAAATTGGCCATTGTAGTTTGTTTCAGGGGAACATGAAAAAGGGTTGTATTAAAAAAAAATTGGGCTAAAGAAACCTGTTATATTTTCCCCTCACACTCCCCCAGTACACATACAAATCTGTGTGTCAGATACTTTAACAGAACTCCATGAAATGAATCTCTAGTGTGCAACTGACAAAACAATTTTGAAAAGGGCTTTATAACAGCTTGACTTGTTGCTGAGACCTCAGGACAAGAGGAACCAAGAGAGCCTTGTCCAACTGTTGACTTGCTTTTTATGCACTTCACTCCGCCCGAAGCAGCCGAAGAATGTTGCTCAGGGTGTTTCTGTACACACTGTGGGTAGCTGGTATGAGTGAGGTTGACATCAGATACTTGCCAATACATAAATCTCCAATATATTTCCTAGGCTGTTTCAAAACGTATGCTGTGCAGAAACACAGGTATATTCAGAACGTAGGGGTTTTAGAAAGCTGAAGTTGCCATTTGAAACTCTCCTGAGAAGAGCAGCACATCGGCATCCCAATGAGAAGCCTGAGAACCTCTTTCTTTTCTTTTCTTCCTTTTCTTTTTCTTTCTTTCTTTCTTTCTTTTTTTTTTTTTTTTTTTTTTTTTTTTTTTTGAGACAGGATCTTTACTCTGTTGCCCAGGATGGAGTGCAGTGACATGATCAGGGTTCACTGCTGCCCCAACTCCTGGACTCAAGTGGGAACCTGGCTAATTAAAAAACAATTTTTTTAGACATGGGGTCTCACTATGTTACCCAGACTGGTCTCGAACTCCTGGTCTCAAGCGATCCTCTTACCTTGCCCTCCCAAAGCGTGGGGATTATAGGCATGAGCCACCATGCCTGGCTGTGAGAACCTCTTTGGCAGGTGCCTGGGTGCCTGGTTTAGGCTTTGAGCTGGATGCTGAGATAGAGACAGATCACACTCTATGTCTGTCCTCATGGTGCTCACAGTGCAGTGGGAAGGATGGACCTCTGTATGAATCACTGAATTCTGTATAATCCACACAATAATAGAATCATACAGAGGCAACAGGGAAAACTGGGGGTATTCTGGGCCTGAGCAAACAGAAGACACTTCACAAAGCATATGCCCCATGAGCTGGATTTGGAAGGGTAAACAAGACTCTGCAAATGGACAGGGGCAAAGGGCAGCATGGCAGATGGAGCCTGTGTACAGAGGCACAGCAGCCGGGAAAAAAACCTGCCCAGTGTGGGAAATCACAAGTGCTTCAGGGAATTACCTCAGAAACACAAAGTGGGAGGTGAGGGAGAGGCGGGAGGGAAGGCTGGGCAGAAAGGAAGGGCTGAGGTCACAAAAGACGTGGCTGTGTGGGACATCTCCACCCCTGAAAGGGAGCTTGCGAAATGTCTTAAGGCAGTAGTAACACGGTGGGAGTTAGGCAGGGAAAATGCTTCTTGGTGGGAGAGTAACCGCTGGTGCTTGACAATCTTGAGTTGATCCTCCAGATCAGCTGTTCATCCTCTCCCCTCTGCTCTGCGCCCCGGGAGGCTGACCTGCACAGCCAGGATCTGTAGGCTCCCTTCCCTGCAGCTTGGTTGGTTGCATTTGGCAGGCACTGGCAGGAAACCAAAGAGTAGGAAGAGAGAAAGGCTAGGTACTGTATTAATCAGACTTCTCCAGAGACACAGAACCAATGGGGTGTGAGTGTATATTTCACATATATACATATACTATACTATAGAGAGAGAGAGAGGAGAGGGAGATATTTATATTAAGGAGTTGCCCCATCAATCGTGGGACTGGCAAGTCTGAAATCTGCAGGGCAGGCTGTGGGCAGGCCAAAGATGCAATGTTGCAGTCATCAGTCGGAAGGCAGTCTGGAGACACTATTTCTTCCTCCTCTGAGGAACCTCAGTCTTTTTTCCCGTTGAGGCCTTCCATTGATTCGATGAGTCCCCCCACATTATGGAGGGTACTCTGTTTTATTCAAAGTCTACTGATTTAAATGTTAGTCACATCTGAAAAATATCTTCACGGCAACATCCAGACTAGTGTTTGACCAAAATCTAAGTTCCGTGGTCTCACAAAGTTGGCACATAAAATTAACCATGACAAGCACTCACGGTCCTCGTTCCTTCCCTGCCAGGCTGCACACTGGCACTGGCCATGATTTCCTGAGGGTGGCCGTCCTTCCTGGTTGGTGGCCCTGTCTTTCAGCTGCTCTCTCTTCTTGGTCTTCAGGAGCAGGTGTGCTAGCAGTATCCTGTTGTTGCTGGCCCTTGACTGTCTCCCCATCCCTTGTGTTTCCCTCAACCCTCCCCACAGCTTTGTAGATTGTCTCTTCACTGGACTCTCCTCACTAACCCCAGGTCAGTATTTTGTTTCTTTCCTGTCAGGATCTTGTCAGCGAATCTGTGTCCCCTTAGAGTTCTGTGGCCCAATGAGATACAAACCTGACCTTTGCTAGACTGTAAATTCTACAAGGGTGCAGACAGACCATCATGTTGTTCATTGATCTGTGTGCCTACTGTGTAGCAGACACTCAATAAATACTAACTGAAGAAATGAACAAATATATCACTACTTTTAGGAAAACATCTTTGAAAAGTTCAGAGAAGACAGATTAACCCATGGCTAGGAGTCCCCAAAGAGAGTATGTTCAACAGGGATGGAAATTTCTCAAAATGAAAATACTGAATCTAAAACTTGGAATCAGTTCAGTGAGAATAAAAGTAATTTTCTAGATCATTCTAAAGAAAATAAATGTGTAGCTACATTAGTAGCTTTCTGATGAGGAGACATTTTTGAAAGAACATGCACAAATGAAGCCTAGAAGAGGCAAGATGTGTTGCTTAATGAGGGACAAATCCCAGAAACTGTGAGGAAAGTACCAAAGAGACCATAACCCAGATCAAGTGGAAATACTACAGAGGACAGAAGGACCAAGTCAGCACACATTTGGAGCAATAGGGGGAATAAGGAAGGGCTAAAGCAGATGACAGGATCACTCAAGGACCATTTTTCGGTTGTCTTCTCAACAAGAGTCTTTAAGTGAGTGTGAAGAGCACCCACTATAAGGAGGGAATTGATGTTCCAGGTGCCAGAGAGAAAATGAGGACACTTGGTCATTTAATGGAATTTTTTGTCTGCAAGCAACTTGCAGACCAGGGAAATGGCAGATGTGATTTCAGAGCTGTTACTGGTTGCCTCTCTCATCTCAGGGGTGTTCGAATACTGTCCCTCTGCCTGGAACAGCATATGCAACTTTCTTACCTACCTCACCCTACCAGTCCCTCAGCATAGGTGACATCTCTTCTAGGAAGGCTTTCTGGGCACCCAAGATTGCTTAGTGCCTCCTTACCTGCTCCCCTATTGTGATCCTCCTCTGAAATGCCCACCAGATGGGTAAAATCCACTTACTACCACCCTCCAGGCACAGTTCTTGGCTGTCGTCTTCCTGAGGGCAGGGTTACCACAGTCTCTGCAGTGCTCAACCCTATGCCAGCAATTGCTAGCAATTATAGTAGCAACCATAATCATTATGACCAAGATACTCAATTAGTTTTCTAGGGCTGCCATAACAAAGCACCATAAATTAGGTAGCTTAAAACCACAAAAATTTATTGTCTCACAGTTCTGGAAGCTGGAAGTCCAAAATCAAGATGTTGGCAGGGCCATGCTCCCTCCAAAACCTGTAGGGGAATCCTTCCTTGCTCTTCCTAGCTTCTGCTGGTGGCCATTCATCCCTGATGCTCCTTAGCTCGCAGCTGTGCCACTCCAGTCTCTGCCTGTATCTTCACAAGGCCTTCTCCCTGTGTGTCTGCATCTTCACATGGCGTTTGCCTCTTCTAATAAGGGCACCTGTCCTATTGGCTTACAGCCCACCCTAATGACATCACCCTAACTTGATTACATCTGCAAAAACCCTTTTTTCTAAATAAGGTCCATTCACAGGTACCAAGAGTTAGGACTTCAACATATCTTTCTAGGGGACACAATTCACCCCATAACACTGAGAGCTTGGCATGGGCAGGTGCTGTTCTCAGTGTTTCACCAGCATTCACTCCCTTAATCCTGACGACACCCTTGTGAGGTAGCTGTGATCACCATGCCCACTTGATAGACCAAGAAATTCGGGTAAAAAGAGGTGAAGCAATTCACCCACGTTTAAATTTGTATGCAATTTTGATAAGCTGAGAAGGTGGAACTTCTCTTTTTCTTGCCTTTCTTCCTCTTCTTTTCCTTCTTGAGTAATTAGAGGGCTAACTTGTAGGAACTGCATACATAGTGCTCCTCAAACTTTAATGTGCCTATGAATCACCTGGGATGTTGTTCAAGGGTAGATTCTGATTCAGGTCTGAGGTAGGGCAGGAGATTTAGCTTTCCCAAGTAGCCCCCAGGTGCTGCAGTTACACTTTGGCCACACTTTGATTAGAAAGATCACTTGGTTCCTAAGTACTAGTGCTATCAACCATTAGGGTGCTTTGTTTATTTATTTATTTTATTTTATTTTTTGAGACAGGGTATTGCTCTGTCACTCAGGCTGGAGTGCAGTGTCAGGATCACGGCTTACTGCAGCCTTGATCTCCTAGGCTAAAGGGATCCTCCCACCTCAGCCTCCCAAATAGCTGGGACTACAGGCACACCATGCCTGGCTAAGTTTTTGTATTTTTTGTAGAGACAGGGTTTCAACATGTTGCCCAGGTGGTCTCGAACTCCTAGACTCAAGCAATCTACCCACCTTGGCCTCCTAAAGTGCTGGGATTACAGGTGTGAGTCTGTGCCTGGCCTGGAGTGCTTTTTAATTACTACTTCTCAGGCCTCACTTAAAACCTTCTGACTCAGAGTCTCAGAGGCAAGACATGGAAATCTGTATTAGCCTTTATTTGAAAAGAGGTGATTCTTAAGGGCATCTAGGTTCGCAGACTACTGGCCTCGACAAACTAAATGTTGATTTGAATTGGCCTGTTATCATCTTGATCACATTGTAGTTAAGAGCAAGACATTTGAGTTAAATGATGGTAATTAGGACTTCAAAACTGGTTTAACTACATCCAAAAAAATATGTCAACCCAGAGGCAGTCCCTTAGATGAGTGGTCTGATCCTGCCTTGGGGAAGATGTAAGTGCCTGACTTGGATGCAATCATATGCTTATCAAGTTCGAACGTGGCAAAAGACTGGATGGGAAACCTAATGCGATTGCTAAAAGAAAATCAAGATTTAAGAGAGCCTTAATAGGTTCAGACATTGAGTCAAAAGAGTAAGATTAGAAGTGGTTATAACAGGGTATGTCAAGTTTATAAAATGAATTGTAGAAGTAAAGGATGGAGAAACCTGATGCTATGATTTGGATGTTTGTTCCCTCCAAATCTCATATTGAAATGCAATCCCCAGTGCTGGAGGTGGGGCCCCGTGGGAGGTGTTTGGGTCATGGGAGCGAATCCCTTACAAATGGCTTGGAGCCTTCCTCATGATAATGAGTTCTCGCTCTGAGTTCACATGAGATCTGGTTACGAGTATGGCACCTTCGTTCTCACCATGAGAGGCACCTGCTCCCCCTTTACCTTGATCGTAAGCTTCCTGAGACCTCACCAAAAGCAGACGTTGGCACTACACTTCCTGTACATTCTGCTGGATTGTGAGCGAATTAAATCTCTTTTCTTTTTAAATATGCGGTCTCAGGTATTCCTTTATAGAAACAAAAAAACGGCTCAACACACCTGGCTTGAGAACTATAGTATAATTAAACTAAAAGTATAATGCAACAACCTAAACATCTCAAGTGATCTTAATCTGTATTTCTACTAATACAAAGAAGGTGACAGTCTCAGGGCTCCCTCAGGGCTCTGCCTGGCCAGAGCAGAGGTGGTGTACCATGTTCACATTGGGATGCCATGTAGTAAGAGTGGCAGTAGGCTGCACCCTGTGGAGAAAGATCAGGTTGGTGAAGCAAATGTAAGTCATGGCCCCCAAGACATGGACGAAAAAATTAATACTACCTTGGAAGACAGAAGACAAAAGAATACTTGAGCCCCATCTGAAAATACTTGGGAGCTTGTTATCTGAAAGAGAATGACCTTGTTCTAAGTAGCTTCAAACAGGCAGAAGCAGGATAAGTGGATGGAAGCTGCAGGGAGATAATATTTTAGCCAGCATATATGGGAGAACATTCTAAGACCTGACCTGATTGATGGTGAAATAAGATGCTTGAGGAAAGATTCAACTCTGTGTTCCTTTAAGTGTTCAAGGAGCTGCGTCATGGGAAAAATTCTTTTCACTCTTTGCAAGGCTGGGATACATGGCCTCTTAAACACTTCCAGCTGAAAAGGGTCTGTGATTCCAAAAATGTGCAGAAAAAGATGCATTCATATACTATCAACAGTCTGCCTCATCTCCCAGAGGGTTTTTATTTTGTTTTCCTCTTTCTTAAAAATAGAAATAATTATGTCCGAATGTAAAGTCCTTCCTTTTTTTTTTTTTTTTTTTCCCCTGAGATGGGCTCTTACTTTGTCACCCAGGCTGAAGTGATGTGATCTCAGCTCATAGCAGGCTTGGTCTCCCAGGCTCAAGGAACCCTCCAGCCTCAGCTTCCCAACTAGCTGGGACTACAGGTGTATGCCACTTTACCTGGCTAATTTTTTGTGTTGTTGGTAGAGATGGGGTTTTGCCATGTTGCCCAGGCTGGTCTGGAACTCCTGAGCTCAAGCAGTCTGCTTGCCTTGGCCTTCCAAAGTGCTGGGATTATAGGCGTGAGCCACTGCACCCAGCACAGAGTCCTTATTTTAAAGTGCTTTGATATTGCTGAAAATAATATTTTGTCATAAGAAGAATTTCATTGTTTTGCTCATTTTATTCTATATACTGATCAAGTACCTAATATTGACAATAATTAATGATGATAATAGCTAACATATAGTGCTACTTGTCAGTCACTGGTTTTAGCACATATTAGCCCATTTAACCATTGCTGCAATCCTATAAACCAGGTGATAGTATTATCCCTATTTTACGGATGAGGAAACTGAGTCACAAAGACATTAATTAACTCCCTTGAGGTCACCCAGAGGCCTCAAAGAGTAGCAGAGTCAGGATTCAAACCCAGACAGCCTTGCTCCGGGATTGGTACTCTGAACATCTATATTGTATTAGTCTGTTTCCATACTGCTAATAAAGACATAAGTGAAACTGGGTGATTTTTTTTTTATTTTTTCGACGGAGTTTTGCTCTGTCGCCAGGCTGGAGTGCAGTGGCACAATCTCGGCTCACTGCAATCTCCACCTCCCAAGTTCAAGCGATTCTCCTGTCTCAGCCTCCTGAGTAGCATGTGGCACCACACCCAGCTAATTTTTGTATTTTTAGTAGAGATGGGGTTTCACCATGTTGGCCACGATGGTCTCAATCTCTTGACTTCATGATCCACCCACCTTGGCCTCCCAAAGTGCTGGGATTACAGGTGTGAGCCACTGTGCCCGGCCAAGACTGGGTAATTTATAAAGAAAAAGAGATGGCTGGGGAGGCCTCAGAATCATGACAGAAGATGAAGGAAGAGCAAAGGGACATCTTACATGGCGGTGGGCAAAGAGAGAATAAGAATCAAGTGAAAGGGGTTTCCACTTATACAACCATCAGATCTTGCGAGACTTATTCATGACCACAAGAACCATCATGGGGGAAATCACGCCATGATTCAATTATCTCTCACTAGGTCCCTCCCATAATGGAATTATGGGAGCTATAATTACAGATGAGATTTTTATGGAGACCCACCCAAATCATATCATTCCACCCCTTGCCCCTCCCGAATCTCATGTCTTCACATTTCAAAACCAATCGTGCCTTCCCCACAGTCCCCCAAGTCTTAACTCATTTCAGCATTAACTCAAAAGTCCACAGTCCAAAGTCTCATCCAAGACAAGGCAAGTCCTTTCCACCTATGAGCCTGTAAAATCAAAAGCAAATTATTACTTCCTAGATACAATGTAGGTATAGGCATTGGATAAACACAGCTATTCCAAATGGGAGAAATGGGCCAAAACAAAGGGGCTAAAGGCCTCATGAAAGTCCAAAATCCAGTGTGGCAGTCAAATCTTAAAGCTCCAAAATGATCTCCTTTGACTCCATGTCTCTCTCACATCCAGGTCACACTAATGCAAGAAGTAGATTCCCATGGTCTTGGGCACTCTGCCCCTGTGGCTTTGCAGGGTACAGCCTCCCTTCTGTCTGATTTCACAGGCCGGCATTGAATGTCTGTGACTTTTCCAGGTGCGTGTTGGATCTACCATTCTGGGGTCTGGAGGATGGTGGCCCTCTTCTCACAGTTCACTAGGCAGTGCCACAGTGGGGACTTTGTGTGGGGGCTTGAACCCCACATTTCCCTTCTGTATTGCCCTAGCAGAAGTTCTGCATGAAGACTCTGCCCCTCCAGCAAACTCCTGCCTGACCATCTAGGCGTTTCTACACATCCTCTGAAATCTGGGCAGAGGTTCCCAAACATCAATTCTTGACTTCTGTGCACCTGTAGGCTCAGCACCGTGTGGAAGCTGCTAAGGCTTGAGGCTTGCACCCTCTGAAGCCACAGCCTGAGCTGTACCTTGGCCCCTTTTAGCCACATCTGGAGAAGCTGGGACACAGGGCACCAAGTCCCTAGGCTGCACACAGCGGAGGGGTCCTGGGCCTCACCCATGAAGCCATTTTTTCCTCCTAGGCCTCTGGACCTGTGATGGGAGGGGCTGCCACAAAGGTCTCTGACATGCCCTGGAGATATTTTCCCCATTGTCTTGGTGATTAACATCTGGCTCCTTGTTACTTATGCAAATTTCTGCTGCCAGCTTTAATTTCTCCTTAGAAAATGGGTTTTTCTTTTCTGTCACATTGTCAGGCTACAATTTTTCTAAACTTTTATGCTTTGTTTCACTTTTAAAACTGAATGCTTTAAACAGCACCCAAGGCACCTCTTGAATGCTTTGCTGCTGAGAAATTTCTTCCACCATATACCTTAAATCATCTCCCTCAAGTTCAAAATTCCAAAAATCTCTAGGACAGGGGCAAAATGCTGCCAGTCTCTTTGCTAAAACATAGCAAGAGTGACATTTACTCCAGTTCCCAACAAGTTCCTCATCTCCATCTGAGACCACCTCAGCCTAGATTTCATTGTCCATATCATTGGCAGTATTTTGTTTAAAACCATTCAACAAGTCTCTAGGAAGTTCCAAACTTTCCCACATTTTCCTGTCTTCTTCTGAACCCTCCAAACTCTTCCAACCTCTGCCTGTTACCCAGTTCCAAATTTGCCTCCACGTTTTTAGTTATCTTTACAGCAGCACCCCACCCTAGTGGTACCAATTTACTGTATTAGTCTGTTTTCATGCTGCTGATAAAGATACACCCAAGACTGGGTAATTTATAAAGAAAAAGAGGTTTAATGGACTCACAGTTTCATGTGGCTGGGGAGGCCTCACAATCATAGCAGAAGATGAAGGAAGAGCTAAGGGGCATCTTACAGGGCGGCAGACAAACAGAGAATAAGAATCAAGTGAAAGGGGTTTCCGCTTATAAACCATCAGCTCTTGTGAGACTTATTCACTACCATGAGAACAGTATGGGGAAAACCGTCCCCATGATTCACTTATCTCCCACAACATGTGGAAATTATGGGAGCTACAATTCAAGATGAGATTTTGGTGGGGACACAGCCAAACCATATCATATACCAAACTACCTTTTTCTTTTTTTTTTTTTTTCAGGTGGAGTCTTGCTCTGTCACCCAGGTTGGAGTGCAGTGGCACGATCTTGGCTCACTGCAACCTCCACCTCCTTGGTTCAAGTGATTCTACTGCCTCAGCCTCCCAAGTAGCTGGGATTACAGGCATGCACCACCAGGCCTGGCTAATTTTTGTATTTTTAGTAGAGATGGGGTTTCACCATGTTGGCCAGGCTGCTCTTGAACTCCTGACCTCAGGTGATCTGCCTGCCTCTGCCTCCCAAAGTATTGGGATTACAGGCGTGAGCCACTGTGGCCAGGCCGAACTACCTTTTTCATATTACATAAGATACAGTCTTAGATCTGACTGTTCATTAGGCACAATGCCTAGAACAGTGGTCCTCAACCTTTTGGCACCAGGGACTGGTTTCATGGAGAACAATTTTTCCATGGACCAGGGTGGGGGATGGTTTTGGGATGATTCAAATGCATTACATTTGTTGTACACTTTATTTCTGTTACATTGTAATATATAATAAAATTATACAACTCATGGTAATGTAGAATCAGTGGGAGCCCTGAGCTTGTTTTCCTACAACTAGGCAGTCCCTTCTGGAGGTGATGGGAGATAGTGACAGATCATCAGGCATCAGATTCTCTTAAGGAGCACACAACATAGATCCCTCACATGTGCAGTTCACAATAGGGTTTGTGCTCCTATGAGAATCTAATGCCACCCCTGATCTGACAGGAGGTAGAGCTCAGGTGGTAATGCGAGCGATGGGGAGCAGCTGTAAATACAGATGAAGCTTCGCTCACTCACCCACTGCTCACCTCTTGCTGTGTGGCCCAGTTCCTAATAGGCTGATACTGGGCCTGGGGGTTGAGGACCCCTGGCCTAGAACTCCACAATACTTTTAGGGGCCCACCAAAATGTTTTAATTTCTTTTAAAATCAAAAGAAAAAAAGTGAACTTAGGGTTAAAGAAAATGTTTTTTTTTTCTTCACACCAGAAGAAAATAAAACATTTAGAGCCCATGAAAATGGATGATGGAGTGCAGGGGCCCACAAAGGCAAAGTACATAAGGCCCATGAAACTCAGTATGTGGCCCTGACACTTTTACCTGCAGTGAGTTTTGAAACACATTTCTTGGAGTGTTTTAAGCTGACCTTGCCATCAAGCTGGTGCTCTCATCTGTGGTGGTGATACGGGGGAAGGAGAGTGCTGAAGAGGGTAACTCTGGTGCAGGCAAGGACATTATCAAAGGTATGGAGGCCGGCAACCCAGTGTGAATGTGGGGAGCAGATGAGTGTGGCAGGTCAGAAATGATTTACTCAGTTTCTTCACTGGAAGAATTGGACCTCTAGAGAATCGTTAGGGAAAGGCAGTTTGAGTTAGGGCAAAAGAGTACAAAATCCATTTTGTACTGGAGAAGACAACCTTGTCTGGAAAGGGAAATAATTTCCATAGAGTCTGGTGAACAGAGCCTGAGGGGTTGGAAGCAATCCAAACTGTTTGTCAGGAAAATCACATTCACGCTGGGCTGGTAGGTGAGAAGAAGCAGCGGCTGCTATTTTGCAATGCAGATGTAAAACACTTCCTGGAAATGGAAATAAAGCAAGCAAGGAAGCATATCTTCTAGGGAAATTTGATCTGTTTCATGTGTAAAAGACCCTAGAAAAAGGATTTGCAGATGTGGAAGGCCTTAGAGCATACAAATGTGAGTGCGAAAGTTGTCTAGAGGTTAACAACTCAAAGGATCAGGGTATATGAAGATTTTATAGCCTAGATTTAAAATCTCTTTCTATTTCTGCTGTACTCAGTTTCCCAGTTCAATAAGTGTGCATTTATAGACATTCCACAGGAGAGGAATGACATTATTAGAGTTCAATGAACACTAATGGCAAGGATTTTTGAAGAAACATTTTATTTGTAGTGATACCTGCCCTTACAGCAGGGCATGAGGGGCCACTGTCCCAGCCTTTCCTCTCCAGCCTCCCCACCCCCTCCACTTTGAAGCACCTTTCTTGAAATTCTTTTTTTCTTTTTTTTCCCTAACATATTCAATTTATCCAACTGATCCTTGAAATTTTCTAAGTCCCTGTCAGTCTGCAATTCAGACCGGGACCCACTTGGCCACATCTCCATTTTCTCCTCTGTGGAATGATCTCTGGCTCTCCAGCCCTCTGCCCCATATGTGTGAGGTCAACCAGATGCCCCAGGAGCTCTGGGGCTTAACCTATGAAGCTTTCCT
Source organism: Homo sapiens (assembly GCF_000001405.40). NCBI lineage: Eukaryota > Metazoa > Chordata > Mammalia > Primates > Hominidae > Homo > Homo sapiens. The sequence goes on along the minus strand of NC_000010.11, from coordinate 87,608,262 downwards.
AGGGGCCTGTGGCCTGGGCCCAATTTCAGAGAGGTGGCCTGAATTGCTCCTGCCTGGGTTCTTTCATGAAGTCATGCCAGAAGGGACCCAGGATTGCTAGAATAGTACTGGGGAACTAAAAAGACAAACAAAAAAACCACAAGTGTTTTTAACAGCCTCACTGAAGTATAATTCAGATAGCATACAATTCATCCATTTAAAGTGTACATCAAATAGTTTATATCAAAAATATTTACCAGGCCTTGCGTCTTCCAGAGGTGTCCTTGCTTATAGATGAGAAATGTTGAAATGAGTGCGCAAGTTGAGGCAAAACGGCTTTTTCCAGGAGTAAGAAAGAAAAGTTGGGTGAGAGGAAGGAGAAGATTGAAAAACTACCTATCAGGTACTATGCTTATTACCTGGGTGATGAAATAATCACACCAAACCCGTTGACACAAAATTTACCTATGTCACAAACCTGCACATGTACCCACCGAACCGAAAATAAAAGTTGGAAAGAAAAAAATAAAATAAAGAGAAGTCAATTGAACCTCTACCAGACAAGACAGAATCTGTGTCTACAGACAGGAATTATATTACATTGTTATCAATTATCTACAAATTACAAAGTTGTTAAAATTGCTCCCATACATTCCGAATCATACAACCTAGAGGGGTTATCCTTTAGAGTGTAGAACACTTTCAGCACACTTTGATTCTTTGTCAGCCTTTCCTTGTAATATTGATGATAGTAATTACAACTGAGTGCCTGCTGTGTACAGGCAATGCACTAAATGCTTCAAAAACATTATTTCATGTAATTCTTAGAAGAGCTTTATGAAGTAAGTATAATCATCCTCATTTTACAGATGATAAAACTATGTTCCCTCATGTGACAATGATGGGAGTGTTGCCTTCTCTCTTTGGGAACATAAGGACCAGATGAGAGCACTAGCTTGATGGCAAGGTCAGCTTAAAACACCCCAAGAAATGTGTTTCAAAATTCACTGCAGGTAAAACTGTCAGGGCTATATATTGAGTTTCATGGGCCTTATGTTCTCAGAGGGAAGACAACACTCCTATCATTGTCAATCCAGCAAGTGGCACAGAATTCACAGCCAGGTCGAATGCCAAAGCCCTTGCTCTTATCCTGGGATCTTCTCCTTGGGCTACTTTGTCCCTCTAAGTAAGTCTGCTACTGGGGGTTCAGCTTTACCCAAAATCATGACTACAGGCCGGGCATGGTGGCTCATGCCTGTAATCCCAGCACTTTGGGAGGCCAAAGCAAGAGAATCACTTGAGCCCAGAAGATCAAGACCAGCCTAAGCAACATAGGAAGACCTCGTCTCTACAAAAAATTTAAAAATTGGCTGGGTATGCTGATATGTGCCTGTAGTCCCAGTTACTCAGGAGGCTGAGGTGGGAGTATCACTTGAGCCCAGGAGGTCCAGGTTGCAGTGAGCTGTGATAACCAGTGTACTCTAGCCTGTGTGACACAGCAAGACTCTGTCTCCAAAAAAAAAAAAAAAAAAAAAAGCAAGCAAGCAAGAATGAAAAAAAAGTTAGTGACTACAGGATATTCAAGAGCCCTAAGCCAGTCCCACCATCTCCAGCCATTCATGCCTGTCTTGGTAACTGGGCTCCTGGCTTATTGCCTATGATCACATCATGGCCTTGTCCCCATTTTCAGGCAAGGCACCCTATGTAGTTCCCCACTCACTCTCTCCTGTTGTTGTCCCACCCATACCTCTATTCCTGCTTCAGGGACATCAGCTGATGTATCAGCCCATTTAGAACTCAGGGGGCTCATTCTTTCTATCTTCAATTTTTCAGGGACTCAAGTTTTGTCCATTTGCCTTCTCCTGCGCTTACCTGCTGGCCTGGGCTTCCTCCTTGTATGTAGTATGGGATTTTCCTCTAGGCATGTGCTTGTTCCAGGCCTGGCAACCCTCCTTCCAAAAAAGCCCTTCTTCTCAGACTCTCCTGTATTAAAATTCAAATGTAGATATTTCTTAGTTACTATCCTTCTCTCCTCAAAAGCACAGTAATCTCATGCCAAATGCCACGCTCAGGTATCTGCTTCTACTGTCTCTCCTATTGCTGCCAGCCAAGACTTGTAGGGAGAGGAAAGGGAAGGGGCAGGAAGTAACAATGCCCTTTATTCTCTGTTTTGCTGACTTCTTGCTCTCCTCAGCAGGAGGCCCCAGTGGTAACACATGGTTAGATCCATTGCGTTGAGTGATATTATACTACAGGAAGGAACGGTTATCTGTGTACAAAACATGGGCAGGTATGTAATTTCATGTCCTGTGAAACAATAGGAATAGAGCTTAAGAGTAAATCTTGGAATTTTCTCAGTTCTGGAAACTTCTATTTAGCCAATTGAATCCAGCCAAATGTTTCCTGGCTCAGGTCCCACTCACCCAGTGGGTGAAAAGCCTCTTGAATTCCTAACTACTTCTCAGCTCACAGGCAGAACTCTTTTGTAGGCCTGATCAATAAAGAAACCACATCTTTGTCAGGAAAGCCAGCCCCTGTCAAATTCTTCTGAGCTTTCTAGCTGGGTGAGAAATGATCCTTTCCGGGACCCTCAGTTTAAATGATTCCTCCTCTCTTTATGCTTCATACAACTTTGTTGCTGGGCTATAATACTTGTTAAAGTCTGTTTTCCTTCACGGTTGTTTATTTACTCTTCACTAGATTGTGAGTTCCTGCCTTACTCATTTTTATATTCCTGGGAAGCCTAATCCAGCGTAATAACTAGGGTCATGAATGAACTGGAGCTCTGAAATACAGAATACTGGCAAGAATAAGAAAAAGGCAAGGTCAATACAGACACCATTTAGACCTAGTCACTGGCATTTCTATAAGAACTATGGATTCTGAGATAACACAGGAAATCTGTGATACAGTTTAAAGAATTGTTTTGGAAGAGGCAGCACACAGTCCAAATTCTTGGAGCTCAACTCATGATTTCTGCAATCCATGTCTTTTTTAAAAGTAGTTTTACAATTAGGGAAGAATATGGAGTCACTTAGATTAGCTTTCTGTATGCAAAAGAAGGACAATAAGTACTATAGTGTTTGTTAAAACGTATTTTTCTTATATTTGAATCACTTATTTTATATTAAGGGTATTTTTTAAAAGTTCTTATTTAGGAATTCAGAAGGATCTAATAGTCAATGTCTATCTACATACTCAGTTGGAACCCATCGTTATTATTAATACACTTGATTCTTAAATTTGTACCAAGACAATGACATAAGATCTCACTTGCATGTGCTGTCCTCCAAAGAGTGGTAGATGCACATTTTACAATGTAGATTAAAAAACTCCCAAGGAAAACTTCATCTAAAGCAACTTTTATGCCCGCAGGTGCCCGGGAGAAACAAATGCAAATATTTCCTAGACAATGTGCCCTCAGACGAGGCCTCAGGCAACTCCCAGAGAAAGCACAACATATCTGGGCTCACAACTTTGAAAAAAATAATCAAGAAACATTCAAGAAAATCAGCTACCATAAATGAGAGACAGTAGAAAGAACAAATGATAAAAACACCCCCATAAGGACTTCACGTATTAGAATCACTGGATAAAACATTTAATATCCTAGCAGAAATAGAAGTGATGACAAAAGAATAAGAAGTTATACAAATGATCAGTTTCGAAAAAGAATCAAATGGAACTTCTAAAACTGAAAAATACAGAGGTTGACCTAAAAAAAGGAATAGAAGCATCAAAGATCAGAATAGCCCTAATTGGTACTGAAACAGAGACCACCCAAATGAAAACAGAGCCCAGGTATTTGGAGCTCGCTATAGAACAAAGGAGTCAGCCACCACTACTTGAGTTTGGTAAGCAAAGTCTAAGGCAGGCAGGGGAGTGGGAATGCTTTCCACTGACAAAAAGTGAAGGCTGCGGGTGTCCTCTGATTGGAGGCTTTGGTGTTGGGGCAGTTAGAGGTGGGCTAACTAGAAGTGAGCATTTCATGTGATGGGTTTGGAGCGGATGTCTGGACTTCTCTGGTTAATCAGTTGGAGACCAGAGCAAAAAAATAGGAAAATTGGGTCTGATCATGGTAGCTCAAACCTGTTATCCCAGCACTTTGGGAGTCTGAGGCAAGAGGATTGCTTGAACCCAGGAGTTCATGACCAGGTCGGGCAACATAGCAAGACCGTCTTAAAAAACAAAACACAAAAAAATAAAAAATAAAAAAGTAAAGTTGGCCATCACTGATTAAGTCTTGCCTGTTCTGGACAGATTGCTACAGAGATTGTGGTTTGGCTGCTGGGGCTTCTCGTGTGGATCAGAATCCTATTTTGTGTGGTCTGGCCATTGGCCTTTGTACATTCAGTCTCTCCCTGGTGAAGAAATGGTGAGCTAGAAGACTAATCTGAAAAAAGTACTCAGAACGCAGCCCAGAGAGACAATGAGATAACACAGAAAAAAAACAGTGAGATGGGGAGGGTAGCAGGAGAAGGGCCAATTTATGTTTTATCAGATTTCTAGAGTGAAATAAAGGAGAGAATGAGTGACACAAAATATTCAAAGAGATAAAGGCTGAAAGTTTGTCAGGACTAATGAATGATTCAGGTTTAGAAGGCCGAATAAATCCCAAGCAGCAGTAATATATGTAGATGGGAAAAATGTTCATAACATAAACATTGCCCATGGTAAATATAAATTAATGTTTCATTTTAGGGGTAAAAAGAGTAAGAAAGAAATAAAAGGCTGGACAATAATAGTATATACCCTAGAGGTGGCTGTTTTGAGAGTCAGGCATTCTAAGGTTTTTTTTGTTTGTTTGTTTTTTGTTTGTTTGAGTCAGAGTCTTGCTCTGTTCCCCAGGCTAGAGTGCAGTGTCATGATCATGGCTCACTGTAGCCTTGAATTCCTGGGCTCCAGTGATTCTCTCAGTTCAGCCTCCAGAGTAGCTGTGACTACAGTTGCCTGCCACCACACCCAGTGAATTTTTAAACATTTTGTAAAGATTGGTGTTGTCGTGTTGCCCAGGCTGTTCTCAAACTCCTGGGCTCAAGCCATCCTCCTAGCTGATCCTCTCAAAGTGCTGGGATTACAGGTGTGAACCACTGCACCAGGCAAAGTACTTTTAAAAAGTGAAATGTATTCACCAAATTTATACTTTAAGTCTATATGTTAAATTCCAAGAATAACCACCAAAATGATAAAGGGGAGTTTATTAAGTATTAACTCACATGATCACAAGGTCCCACAATAAGACATCTGCAAGCTGAGGAGCAAGCAAAGCCAGTCCAAGTCCCAAAACTGAAGAACTTGGAGTCCAGTGTTCAAGGGCAGGTAGCATCCAACACAAAAGAAAGATGTAGGCTGGGAAGGTAGGCCAGTCTAGTCTTTTCATGTTTTTCTGCCTGCCTTATATTCTAGCTGCCCTGGCAGCTGATTAGATGATGCCCACCCAAATTAAGGTTGGGTCTGCCTTCCCCAGCCCACTGACTCAGATGTTAATGTCCTTTGGCAACACCCTCACAGACACACCTAGAATCAACACTTTGCATCCTTCAATCCAATCAAGTTGACACTCAGTATTAGCCATCACAACCAATAAAACTGAAGAGCTGACACTTCTTTTTTTTGAGACGGAGTCTCGCTCTGTCACCCAGGCTAGAGTGCAGTGGCTCAATCTCGGCTCACTGCAAGCTTCGCCTCCCGGGTTCACGCCATTCTCCTGCCTCAGCCTCCCAAGTAGCGGGGACTACAGGCGCCCGACAACACGCCCGGCTAATTTTTTGTATTTTTAGTAGAGATGGGGTTTCACCGTATTAGCCAGGATGGTCTGGATCTCCTGACCTCGTGATCCGCCCATCTCGGCCTCGCAAAGTGCTGGAATTACAGGCGTGAGCCACCCCGCCCGGCGAGCTGACACTTCTAATACTTCCTAGTACAAGCTTTTCAGAAAAAATTAAGTCCTCTTTAAACAACACACAAACTTGAGCTATGAAAAGATTATTTTGTAAATTAATGTTTGGAAATGTTTTCATTGTCCTGTAGTCTTTTTTGTTAAAATTACAAACATGTAACACCTTTTAAAAACTCTCATAGTTGCACTTTTGAAAACTGGGGGAAAAAAAAAAAGAATTTGCTAACTTGTTTCAAAAATCTTCTAAAGGAAAAGCTTTACCGGGTTTAGTATATATGTTACAAAGAAAAAAATGCAATACCTTATACTATTGGTTTGCAAGAACAACTCAGACAACATAGAAGGTGGAAACTCGCCAGCCAGATCTCCAGCCAAACATTTCCAGAATTGATGGAAGTGACAGAAAATGATTAGTAAAGATAGACAATGATTCATTTTTGTATATGATCTATGAATCTTTTAAGTTATCTTTTCAGCTGTGACATACATTAAAAACCAAGTATTAGGACCTATAGACCCATGGAATGAAAGTGAAAGTCCAAAAAGAAACACGTGTATTTATTGTCAGTTGATTTTTGGCAAGGGTATTATAAAAATTCAATGGGGAAAGAATAGTATTTTCAACAAATGTGCCAGGACAACTGGCAATCCACACTCATAATAAATTTGAACCCCTGCTACATACCACATTACAAAAATTAACTCAAAATAGATAGGGATCTAAATGTAAGAGCTAAAGCTATAAAACTCTTAAGAGAAAGTATAGATATGAATCTTCCTGACTTTGAATTAGGCACTGTTTTTTTAGATATGATACCAGTAGCACAAGCAACCAAAGAAAAATAGGTATATTGGACTTCATCAAAATGAAAACTTTTGTGCTTCAAAGGTCACTATCAAGAAAGTGAAAATAACCCACAGAATGGGAAAAATGTTTATAAATCATATATCTGATAAGGTCTAGAAGCCAGAATACATAAAGAACTCATACTACTCAATAATTTAAAGACAAATAACAATTTAAAAATAGACAAAGAATTTGAATAGATATTTCTCCAAGAAGATACATGAATGTTCAATAAGCCTGTGAAAAGATGTCCAACATCATAAGTAATTAGGGAAATATAAATCAAGCCACAATGAGATACCACTCATATCCACTAAGATATCTATAATCAAACAGACAGACAATGACAAGTAATGGCAAGGATATGGAGAAATTAGAACCCTCATCTATTGCTGTTGGAATTGTAAAATGGTGCAGCCACTTTCTAAAACAGTCTGGCAGTTCCTTAAATGGCTAAACATAGAGTTAGCATATGACCCAGCAATTCCCTTCCTAGGTATATACTCAAGAGAAATCAAAACAAATGTCCACACAATAATTGTACATAAGTGTTCACAGCAGCATTATTCACAATAGCTAAAAAGTAGAAACAACCTAAATGTCCATTAACTAATGAAGAGATAAGGAACTTGTGGTCTGTCCACACAGTGGAATAGTAGTTGACCATAAAAAGAAATAAAGTACTGATATATGCCACAACATGGATGAATCTCAAAAACATTGTTACATGAAGGAAGCCAGGCACAAAAAGCCACATATTGCATGATTTATGAGAAATGTCCACCATAGGCAAACCCACAGATACAGAAAATAGATACGTAGTTGCCAGGGGGTAGGGGTAGAGAGGAATAACAGTGACTGTTAATGAATATGGGTTTCTTTTTGGGGTGATGAAAATATTATAAAATTATAGTGTGGTGTTTACATAACTTTGTGAATATGCTAAAAAAGACCCTGAAATGAAGCCTCAATTAAAAAATGTTTTAAGAATATTGCAATAAAATGAACTGGTCCAAAATTTTGGACCAGTATCAATGTATCACAGTGATGAATCATGGTTTTTTTTTAAAGAGAGAAGTGCATTTAATCAAATTACTCTTTAGCAAAAGCAGTTGCTTTTGCACTCTTACTAGTTTTTATGTCATTTTAAGATAGTTTAATCTTTATCTTATCCTTTGAAATTTAATTCTGGCTTTTTATTGTGCATAAATATTAATATAGTAGTACAGACAGATAATTTGTAAATATATAAATATATATTGGAGATCTATGTGCAAAGTTTTCATTGATGGGGGATGCAACCAACAAAAGTTTCAGACCATTTCTTGTTAGGTATCTTTACATGACAGTCAGGGAAGAAACTTAGGGAAATTAATGTAAGAAAATCAGCAAGAGGTGGGGATATCCCAGATTTTATCTTATATTAAGAATACTGAGGCCAGGCGTGGTGCGTCATGCCTGTAATCCCAGCACTTTGGGAGGCTGAGGCAGGAGGATCATTTGAGCCCAGGAATTCAACAGCAGCCTGGGCAACATAGCAAGATATCCCCTCTACAAAAAATAAGAAATTAGCTGGATTTGGTGGTGCACTCCTTATAGTCCCAGCTACTCAGGAGGTTGAGCCAAAAGGATTGCTTGAGCCCAGGAGGTCAAGGCTACAGTGAGCATGACCAAACCACTGCCCTCCAGCTTGAGCAACAGAGTGAGACCCTGCTAAAAAAAAAAATATATATATATATATATATATATATATACTGACACGAGGCATGGAGTTCAGGCCTGGTAGCTCATGCCTGTAATCTTAGCACTTTGGGAGGCCAAGGCAAGCAGATAGGAAGTGAGTCCATGAGTTTGAGACCAGCCTGGGAAACAGGGTGAAACCCTATGTCTGCAAAAAATACAGAAAGTTAGCCACGCATGGTGGCACGTGCCTGTAGTCTCAGCTACTTAGGAGGCTCAGGTGGGAAAATCACCTGAGCCCAGGAAGTTGAGGCTGCAGTGAGCCGGGATTGCACCACTGCACTCCAACCCTGAGAAACAGGAGTGAGACTCTATCTGAAAAAAAGAATACTAAGGTAATTTGTGTACATGATTAAAATAAAGAATAGCTGGGTGTGGTGGCATATGCCTGTAGTCCCAGCTACTCAGAAGGCTGAGGTGGAAGAATCACTTCAGCCCAGGAGTTGGAGGCTGCAGTGAGCCATGATCACACCCTTGTACTCCACTGCGGGTGACAGACCTAAGACTTTCTCTCTAAAAAAGAAAATAAAAATAAATCTGAGGGCACTTACTGGAAAATTCTCTAAAGTTATATATATAATTTATAGATTTTTAACTCACTTTAATTCTTCATCATGTGGTAGCAATTTGATACCGAGCAAATTTCCATTCTGTGTTGCTCCACAGAAGAGGGTTATACCTTAGTATATCTATGTGCTAAAAATACCACCTTTTAAGAATAATGTTACAGTTCTTTCTTCAGTCATGTCCCCGACTGCCAGTGAGGCATTGGCACCCTTTACCAATTCGGCTAATACTGCGACGTCGTCTGGACTAGCGTCCAATTTCTTTTCCCAGCTTGTCCTGGAAAAAAACAGTAGTGTCCCTGTAGTCTGCGATCTGCTTCTTCAAATGTTTGCCTGACCTCATTATCCAGAACACTCTGTAAATGTAGTCTGCTACACAGCCCCGAGTCTGAAGGGGCAGGATACTCCCTTGAATGCAGCAAAGCAGAATAGAATGATCTGTCTAGCCAGGCTTGGAAAATGTAGTTGCCAGGTTGCTACTGGTTTAAAGAAAACACATGAGAACTGTGCTAGCCACAACCCTCTGCTCCTGAAACCCTACTGTGAAAACTGCAATACAGGGACCAAAAGCCGAGAGGAAAGTTTTGCTGGCATACCTACCTGATCTCTAGATGTTCTTTTTTTGAGACAGGTTCTCACTGTATTGCCCAGGCTGTAGTGTAATGGCACAATCATGGCTCACTGCAGCCTCAACTTCCCAGGCTCAAGTGATCCTCCTACCTGAGCCTCCCAAGTAGCTGGGACTAGCGGCACATGGCCACCACAATTGGCTAATTTTTCAATTTTTTTTTTTGTAGAGATGGGGTTTCACCATGATGTTGCCCAGACTGGTCTCAAACTTATGGACTCAAGCCATCTGCCCGCCTTAGCCTCCCAAAATGCTGGTGTTACAAGCATGAGCCACCATGCCCAGTCTGCTTTTTCTGCTTAGGAAGTGCTTATATTTTTTGAGAAGCCACAAAGCCCAAAGCCAAGCTGCACCCACCTCCCCAAAGTGCCAGCTAGTTGGCCTATAGATCAAATGTATTTCCTTTCAGAAGGGTGATGTTGTGGAAAGAATACCCAAATAACTGTGTTTAAATTCCTAGTCTTCCACTTCCTGGTTTTGGGGAAGTCACTCAACTTCTCTGATCCCTGGTATTCTCATCAGTAACATGGAGATAATAGTAACTACTGCAAGTGGCTGTTGTACATGTGAAATAAGAAAATATACCTGAAAATAACCACTGTGTTTGGTATACAGTATGTATGTTAGATTTCTGTTTTGGGAGTCAGGGAAACAGGATCTGGGATGGCTTCTTTATGAACCCACAAGCACTATGGCTGACACTGTTGATGTGGCTTATCCAACGGGCAAATATTCATACACCTTTCTTCTCGGAAGAAACACTGGTTTCATTTGGATGGCGTTTGAGACTTGCTTCCCCTGAAGGCAAAGTCTGAGGCAAGGCAAGTATGTGGGTGTTTATTTGAAAGATGATCCAGGGACCAGAAATGAGGGACTAGGGAGACAGGTCAGAGAAGGAAGAAAAGCCAACAGAAGGGTGTGTTATCAAGGTCACGGCTGTGGACACTGGAGCTCAATACCACCAGGACCTTCCAAGAATCATGTGGCATGCCCTTGAAGGATGGGCCCCAGGAGTACTCCTCCATCAGTTCCCATCTTGACTGGTCAAAGTTTCCCTTCCAAACTGTCTATGTCTACCAGCTGATTGAGTGCCCAGTGGTGCCTGTAGCTTCTGGGAAGCCCAGGAGAGAAAGCAAGAGGCTTAAAGCAAAAGGCTACCATGGAGAAGTGAGACAAAGCCCACATGAGACTGTCCTCCCAAACCAGGACTGGCTAGATAATTTCCAGGACCCAGGGCACAATGAAAAGTTAGGGCTCTTTGTTAAAAAAAAAATTAATTTCTAAGCGGCATGAGCAGAACATTAAACCAAGCCCAGAGCCCTTCTAAATGAGAGGCCCTGTGAAACTTCACAGGCCCCATTCCCCAAGAAGCCAACCCTGACTCCAGCTGGGGCTGGAATTAGAGACAAGGCCAACGTGAGTGAAGTGCCAAGGACGTAGACATAAGTAGCAATGTGCCCAGCATGAGAGGATGAACTAAAATTGGTATAAGCCCATATGGCAGTCTCGTTTCCCTTCTACAGGGATGGGGGTAAGATGCTCATGTTCTGGCTAATAAGATATAATGGAAAGTCTTCTGAAGGGTGGTAGCCATAGAAAGGCAAGAAAAGCAAACACTTTTTTTTGTTCCCTTTTCTCTCCTTTCTGCTAGAAAAGCCGTTCTGTGAGGACATAATGCTGGGAGCAGCAGCAGCCATCTTGTAGCCATGAGGGTAGACACTCCTGCCACACTGAGATAGTGGAGTGGACAGAAAGGAGAAGCTGGGGTCCTTGAGGACTTTGGTTAGCTGCTGGGCTCACCCTGGGACCACTGCTTAGGGAATTCCTGCTTAGTAACACTAACTGTCCTATGGGTAAAGCCACCAGCAGCCAGAAGCATTTTTAACTTATACAACTGTTAAGAAACATTCCCACTGTCTTTGGTATTACAATTGCATTGATCTTTGAAGCAGAGCAAAGACTGCTCTCTATAAGCATGCCTTGACTAGGCCAGGGCAAACAAAGAATTAAATTAAGGAAGTAAATGGTCTCTGCTACTGACTGGTAGAGGAAAGCCCCATCTAATTTACCTTCCTTCTTTGCATAATCCGTATCCTTTGCCTCTAGTTACTTTCCAACTGTCACCCATTGGGAGGGGTGTAAGGAGGGAAATGGCAGTTGGGGCCTCCATGCCCACACCACTGGGGGACTTGAGCCATTGATTGATTTATCTTATTTTTCTAAGATTAAGCTGTTTAAATTTTGTAGAGCACATTGTTGTATTTGACTGTCCTGAATTGTCTTCATCTGGCAGTGCATTTCATTTTACTTTCAAGAACTGTTCAGCTGCTTTGCATGTAGTCTTAGGGAGACTTTAGAGTCAAGGCGCATAGTCCTCCCTTGTCGAAATCAGGGCACCTAACTCAGAGGCCAACTGGACTCTCTCTCCAGGAAATCTGAATCTCAGTGGCAGCACCCTAAGTGGACTATGAGTTCTTGCTGTCTAGATTCTGGATGGTTCAGAGTTCCTGTCCTTGCTGAAGCTCATTCTTAGGTTCTCTGAGCCATCTCACATCCCTATTTTATATATATATATATATATTTGCCTGTTAGCTACAATTTCTACTGCATGCCATTGAAGAATAAAAGAACAAACTTTAAACCTAAAATTTAATGGAAACGGAAACCTCAAATAAAATCATTATTTAGCTGCTTATAAATCAACTCTTACTTTCACATATCCTCCCATATTAATTGAAGGCATAATAGTAGATTTATTGTAAAGCTGGCCCCAATCATACAAACTTCCCTGTGTGCAAGCACTTTGCAATGTGACTTTGTAGCTCCTCCAATGAAGAGGTGGAGTCTGTGTCCCCACTCCCTTGAATATAGGTTGGCCTCATGATTTGCTCTGGACAAGATGTTGTAGAAGCAACGATGTGTATTTCCAAGCTTAGGCTTTGGGAGGCTTTGTCTGCTTCTGGTCTATCTATTGGAACCCTGAGACCGCCATGTGAATAACCCCATGCTGGCCAAGAGACCACATGGAGCAGAGCTGAATTCTATCCATGGCCATCCTAGAATAGCCATCTGGCTGACTCCCAAACCTGTGAGAGAGCCCACCCCAAAATCAGAAGAACTGCTTACAAATATACTACAGCTGACTGCACTTATATATGAGTGAGTCCAGCCACAATTAGAACCATTTGTTTAATTAATAGACTCTTGATCCACAATAAATGGTCGTTGTTTTAGCCCTTAGTTTTGAGATAGTTTTTATTATACAGCAATAGCTAATGACTAGCCTCTAAAGCAAAAAAGGCACTGAACTAGTATTCAATCATTATTATTATATGCTTATTACATGCCTTACACTATGTCCATATATAATTGCTTGTGGAAATTCTCATGGAAACCCATAGGTTATGTATTTGTTTTTAAAATAATGCAGCTCCTCTCTACTTGCACGTAGTTGGGAAATTTATGTAATACAAGAATATTTGTTTTTGCCTGGAATTAGCCCAGTCTGTCATGTTGCCAAAACCAGGGGAAGACTATTTTAAGAAGAGTGTTGAGAGAGGTTATTGTGGACTTTGGGCAGAGACTGTTCCTACCATCTCTCTTATTTAGCACAGTGTCTGGTGCATGTTTGATACGTTGAATGGAATATTTAAGTCTTCTAGTGCAAGCCTGGTGGTTCTATTCAAGACCAGAGTAATCCCAGGTTTGTGAGCCAAATCAAAAGACATCCAAAGTGCTCAGAAAGCTTGAGGTACTTCTATGATCACTTGGAAAATTCTAAAACTGACTAACCATTTAGAACAAATGTGTAATAAGGGGATCAGTTCAAGACATTCAGGTTTCAATGAAGCAGTTTACTTCACAGACTAGAAGGGGAAAGTTGGGTAATGGGTATGTTTGATTCACCCAGGCTTTAAAATAAACCTTTGCAAAGCTGTGTTCTAAGCTGGTGTATAAGGCCAGTGGGTTGGATAGTACAGTGGCCCACTTAAATAGATGAAAAGTATAAATACATTGAACATATATCCATTTTTACTGCACAAGAAATTTTCTAACAAAATGGATTTTTGAAATATCACTAGAAACCTCAATTGTGGTTTCAACAGGATTTAGCAAATATTTTTGCATATTTATTTGACATAAAAAATTTCCCCCAAACACAATGAAAAGCTACTTGCAATACAGGTTTTCCAGTGAACAAACATATTCTGATGGTGCCTCTGGCTATTAAGTGAAGCAAGCTCCCTATTTCTTAAGTTCGTTTTCTCTGGAAATCTTGACAGAGCAATTCTTCCAAAAGATCCATAAGGAAGAAAACAAAACAAAAAACAACTACTTAAGGTTGTCAGTTAACACTGCCAATTTATCACTAGCAAAACTCATTACTCTTAAAGTAATTCAGGAGGTAGGTTACTCAAACAGCCAAAAGCTAAGAAAGTCCTAGGAATTAAACAGTTCTGTGATTTCCCCTCCATGCTATTTCAACAGTGTCAGATTAAAGTCTCATTTGTCAATGATTATTCCAAAATGTTCCATCTCTGAAAGAAGGAACAAAGCAAATCATAAGAAAAACTTTATGGAGTAAAATACCATGTCAGGGGGCATAAGGAGAAATGGGAAATAGAATTAGCAATGATGAAATTATCAGAGCAACAGTACATCTGCTTTTCTCTGAAATTGGCCTGTAATGGAATGCTTCCACATTAGCAGGACCAACTGTTCATTCCACCTAATCAGAACCAGTTGTTTCATGTTTTGTTTTATTCCATATTGAGCAACAATAAAGCAAAACTTGTGGCTCCTCAATGCAGCCTTGAGAAACTGTCCCAGTGAGGCTTGGGTAGCAAAGTAGAACCATTAAAAGGAAAATGCTAATTAAATCTCTTCCAAATTCAGAGTACAATTCTCTCTGATTATTGACCTCAGACTTCAGCTGTTAAAGACAGAGTCTTCTCTTATGTATGGTAACTGGTTTTGCATCACAGATTTAAGCTTCAGATTAAACTACTGGATGCCAAGAGTCATGATCAATGTGTTCCGTATGTTTTTGTCTCAGTCTGCTTTGTTATAATATTTCATCTACAAACTTTTGAGAGCAACAAACAGTTCTTCGTTTATGTGTCCTTTGTGCTTTTAAATCACAGTTTGAAGGGAGAAAAAGGAAAATAACTTCCTAGTTCTTCTCTAGAGGAATATAGTTCCTCACAAATATTTTCTGAGTAAAATGCATTTTAGACACTGCTCTGTCACCCCCATGTGCTATCCTTTGAAAAGATGGAAATAGAAAAATAGCAGGCTGGGTATGGTGGCTCACGGTTGTAATCCCAGCACTTGGGGAGGCCAAGGTAGGTGAATCACATGAGACCAGGAGCTCGAGACTAGCCTGGCCAACATGGTGAAACCCCATCTCTACCAAAAATACAATAATTAGCCAGGTGTGGTGGTGAACATGTTTTAATCCCAGCTACTTGGGAGGCTGAGGCAGGAGGATCACTGGAACCTGGGAGGTGGAGGTTGCAGTGAGCTGAGATTGCGTCACTGTACTCTAGCCTGGGTCACACAGCAAGACCGTGTCTCAAAAAAATAAAATAAAAAAAAGAGGAGAGCATTTCTGCTTTTCCCTCCCCTAGAAGCATGTAGCTTTTGGGATATTTATTTTGATTTAATCCATTCATAAACTTTTATTTTTTGGTAGCTGTGAATACTGGGCTAGAGGGCAAGCTCCCCAGTAAGGATTTATTTAAAATCCTAACAGTATTTAGGTGAGAATAAAAGCCATGAAACAAGAGGAAGTTTGAAAGCAGAACATGCATTATGACACTAGCACCAACTAGAAATGTTAAAATGAAAAGACACAGCTATTAAAATTAACAGATGAGCTCTTAATAGCTCTTAATAGCAGCTTCTTTACTGCCAAAGAGTGGATGAGTAAATGAGAAGGTCAGTTTATCAATCAGAATGCAGCTCAAAGACAAAGAGAATGAAAATAATAATGAAAAGTTCAAAGAGAAGAGGACACATCCAGACACTTTACTATGTACTTAATAGAGTGCCCGAAGCAGAGAACAGAAAAACTAGTGAAGAGGTAACATTGAAGAGATACTAGCAGATAATGCTTTCAAGGTTGATCTACATTGTAGAACATGTATGAGTACTTTATTCCTTTTATGGCTGAATAATACTCCATTGTATGAATTTACTGCATTATATTTGTCCATTCACCAGCAGATAAACGTTTGGGTTGTTTCCACATTGGGGCTATTATGAGTACTGCTACTGTGAACACTCATGTACAAGTTTTGTATATACATGTTTCCAATTTGCTTGGGTATATATATATATATATATATATATATACACATACACATATATACACATACACATATATACACATACACATATATATACATACACATATATATACACACATATATATATACACACATATATATACACACATATATATACACACATATATACACACACACACACACACACACACCCCTATGAGTGGAGTTGCTGTGTCATACGGTAACTCTGTGCTTTGAGGAATTTCCAAACTGTTTTCCAAAGTGGCTGCAACCATGCTACAACCTCACAAGCAATGTAGGTTCTGATTTCTCCATATTCTCAACTCTTTAAAAAAAAGACAATAGTCTTTTTTTTAAAATTATAGCCACCTGAACGTTTGTGAATGGTATCCCATTGTGGTTTTGATTTGTATTTCATTAATGACTAAGATATTGAGCATCTTTTCATAAACAGTCACACCAAAGGTAGGGCAGGGATACAGCAAGGGCTTGGAAATAACCATTCTACTAGCTGCAGGTGAGCTAAGCTTTTTTTTTCTTTCATTGCAGACTAATTTCTTGCACATAGCTGCTGCCAGCTCCTACCACCAGAGAGGGACTGACTCCCTTTCCCAAGGAGTTCTGATCTGTGTGCTTTGGGTCAGGCACCAAGGTCCAGACCAGCCAATAGTGAACAGGAAATCAAGGTAAAGTAAAAACATGGCAGCTCCTAATGGAATTACATGAATGGGGAGGAGGAAGAGTAATTCCCTAAAACAAGAATGTGTTATTCCTCATAGAAAGAGGATACTGGTAATATGCAATAGTATGTGTCCATATCACTACTGACTTTGAGGATCAGACAGCATTAGATTTTTGGTCTCTAAATGTTTTATAATGGCCTTTAGTCTAAAGCCTTAAGGTTTTTTACTGACCTGGGCTATTGGTAAGTGTAAAGAAATATATAGTTATGATCCTTATAATGCATATTGAGGATATTCTTGGTGTTGGCTGTCTATTTAAACAATCCACTGTTGCAATAAACTTCAGCATCATTCTGTTTATATATTAACTCTGACTAACCTTGCCAAAAAGGTTTCTGATGAAACCTTGACTCAAAGGTCACAATCTGGTAGCCCACAGGCCTGATACTACCTTAAGAAATTTATTGTTTGGTTCATATAGCATTGTCATTTTCTGAAATCTGAACAAGTTTCCTGTACTAAAAAAAATCTGTGAATTTCATATAGAAATCTGGATTTCCAGCTTTTCTTAAAAATGATTTATGCTATCAAGGCACATGCACACATGTTTATTGCAGCACTATTCACAATAGCAAAGACCTGGAACCAACCCAAATACCCATCAAGGGTAGACTGGATAAAGAAAATGTGGCACATATATACCATGGAATACTATACAACCATAAAAAAGGATGAGTTCATGTCCTTTGCAGGGACATGGATGAAGCTGGAAATCATCATTCTCAGCAAACTAACACAGGAACAGAAAACCAAACACCACATGTTCTCACTCATACATGGGAGTTGAACAATGAGAAGACGTGGACACAGGGAGGGTAACATCACACACCAGGGCCTGTTTGCGGGGAGGGGGCCTGGGGGAGGGATAGCATTAGGAGAAATACCTAATGTAGATGACGAGTTGATGGGTGCAGCAAACCACCATGGCACATGTATACCTATGTAACACACCTGAATGTTCTGCACACGTATCCCAGAATTTAGAGTATAATAAAAAAATTTTTAAAAATGATTTGGTGGCATGTCCTCAAAACCAATGATCAGGCAGGTGTTCCCACATCAACACAGTGGGGAGCTGATGCTGGGGAGGGAAAACACCTTAATGAGAGTGTTCATGTTGTAGTTCACTGCAGACACCGGCTGTTCTGCTCCCTATGTGGCTCCTTGACCTCTGCAGGTGTATGAGTTTGTAACCCCTGATTTGAATTGTTTCAGTCACTAGTCATTAATTGTCCAAAGAAGCCTGTATCAAGCACTAAATCATAGTTTCCCTTTGTTGTGGCCTTGCTGATCACAGAGTGAGAGTACATAAATGGAGGATTCACTCATAGTTGAATAAAATACTAATCTAGTTCATAGGCCCTTACAGTTTGTGATCATTTCACTTTCAGACCCTGAAGGCATAACACGTAGGGAGATTATTGAGACAACACAAATTCTCCTTGCAAATCCAGGAGACTGTATTAGTTCTTATTCTCTCAAAACAGGTGACTTCTAATTAGCTTTAACCACTTCCTGCTGGAGGATATTTATCTAGTGGCAGACTGTAATTCCTTCACCAATTGTCATCAAAAATGTTTTTAGCCTAAAGTACTCTAAACAGTTCTGGTTCTAATTTAAGTCCACGTGGTTATTATCTTACTCTAATCTATTATGAGAAGTTTATAATCTTGCCCTTGTACCTTCATGAGTGGTGGCACTCCGTGTTATTTCAGCTCAGTTGCTGAAGATCCCAGAGGCCAAAGTATTGGGCTGTCTTAGCCAATGACAGCCTTATGTAAACATTGTGCTATATCACCCCGATCCCCCTTCAGGAATGAAGGATTTATTTTCTCAGCTGCTGGGAGTGCTGCTGGAGGACAATCCTCAGCATCAGCCCTGTTTAAACTGCCTCACTCAAGGTCATGCCGCCTCCAAGGCAACCCATATCCAAAGAATGATCACTTGAGGATATAAAGTCCTGGCCCCTCGTCCAGCTCGGGACGTTTAAATGGCCATCCCAGCCCCAGAGCTCCTTATGGGGTTGCCTGAGGCCTTCCTTGGGACTGTATCTCAGTTGACTTCTGCCTAATCTTGCTTCCTGTAGTCCCTTCCGCAGGTGTTGAGTCTAAGCACTCCCTGGCAACCCTAGTCTCCATCTCAGAGTCAGCTTTGCACGAGCCCAACCTGTGAAACTTCTATGAACTTCTATGAAGCACGTGCTATGGAATGAGGGGGCCACTTCAAAGGGAAAGGGAAACCAGGATCACTGGGCAGATGGTTCACTATCTTGGAGTTGAGGCAAGTAAGAAAGTAGGGGAAATTTCTGAAAGCCCAGCAGAAAAGCAACTGTTGATTCTCAGCCAAAGCTTCAAGAGGGCAGAAGCCAAGCAATATTGATTTCCCTTCCTCCCCTTTTAATTAAAATACTCATGGACCCAAATAAAAGAGATGAAAAAGTTATAATGGCATTAGAAACTAGAGATACTGCTCAGGCCATCTGCTAGATATCAGGAAGAATGTCCATGTACCAAAGCCTGGATTGAGAAGCCCAGAGACATAACCGAGGGGCTCTAAGTGAGGGAGAGGTGAAAATGGGTTGAACCGCAGATTGCTAGCAATTTGTCTTCTCTAGGGAGTGGGGGGAAGTTCATTTTGAAGCTCAGAAGCCCAGTCTCCAAAGTTCCAGGGATTGATCTCTTCCAGTGAAAAGATGAATAAGCAAAAAACAACAAGTTATCAGAATGATGGGCTTGCTGCTTTGCATCTCCAGTAGTCCTCTCTAGGATGCAAATGGAAGGCTCGAACACTGACCATTTCCCCATGATCACAGGCATGGACCAGAGCTGAATACAGCTCTCCCTTTTCAAAGGTACTATTTAAAAAGTGGTGAGGGAAGCCTATGAAACATTACAAAATACAAATAGAGAATCTGATACCTAAGGACACACATTGGGAAAATACTTCTACAGGAAACCTAATTAATTTTAAAGAACAATACGTCTACACTCTCAAAGATTTGGAAAGATGTGGATCTTTTGAAATAAAAGATGAAATATGGAGAAGACAACAAACATGAAAAAGGAACTAAGATGGCATCAGATATCAAAAGAACTGTATGAGATAATGGAGTTGTTGCAAGACAACTATAAATACAATCACACAATTAAGTCATCACATTGATGGAAGAAAATTGAAGCAGTGATTCAGAGAATATCTTGAGAAGACCTCCCAAGAAGCATTTCCAAAGCTGGGAGGCGAAAATATAAATACAAAGGGCAGACACTAGAGAGTCAACAAAAAGATAATATTTATTCCTAAAACACAGGTCAGAACAAAAGCAATAAATTAATAATAAGAGAAAACTTTCCTGGTATGAAGATGTACCACAGTGTGCAGAATTCAAGAGCCCATCATATACCCAGCAAACGAAAAGTCATAGGAAAAATATCAACACCTAGACATATCTCGTTGAACCTTTTTTTAAAGTTCATTTTTTAAAGTGTTCTATATAAAGAACATTTGACCCACAAAAAAAAAAAATGTAACATTCTTCACCTTCATTTAGGGGCTGGGATCATGGATTGGAAGGAGGATTAGGATTATAGAAAGAACATGAGTGTCAAAGTTTGATCTACCATAGTAACTCCTTGTCAAAGCATGTCCTGGTTTTAGGAATCGCGAGTTGCACCCGATGTCCCCAGTAACTTCTTAGACTTCTCTGACCTGCTCATCCCTTACCTTTACGCCCTGTAAAGAATGGCTTCCCACCAATGCTGTTGTCAGCCCCATTAAATCTTTACATTGTTTTGGGTTCAGTACAACAGGCCACCATTGAATTGAACTCCGCTGTCCACACCTGTGAGGCATCGAATCTACTGGATCATCTGTGGAGTGTTTTTCTTTCAATTTGTAGCCATACCCAGAGGCATTAATTTTCTATTACTACTCTAACACATTAGCACAAACTTGTTGGCTTAAAACAATTTACATTTATTCTCTTACAGTTCTGGAGGCCAGAAGTCTGAAACGGGTCTCACTGGGTTAACATGAAGGTGTCGGCAGGGCTGTACCTCTTATGGGAGCTCTAGAGAGGAATGTGTTTTCTTGTTCTTTCTTCCTTCCAGAAGCCATGCACATCCCTGGAACGTGGCCCTCTGCCATCTTCAAAGCCGGTGACTGCTGGTGGAGTTTTTATCCCAACACATCACGCTGACCTTTCCTTCTACCTCCCCTTCCACATTTAAGGACTTTTGTGATTACATTGGTCCCACCTGGATAATCCAGGCTCATCTACCCCTCTCAAAGTCAGTTGATTAGCAAGCTTAATTCCATTTTCTACCTTAATTCTCCTGTGCCAAGTAACCTAAAGTATTCACAGCTTTCAGGGCCGTAGACATTGTTGGGGATCCACAACAGGCTTCTCCAATGTGGCTTCTGGCTACTTTACTTTTAATTAGCACCTCCAGGGAAGGGTGGTGATTAAAAAAAAAAAAAAAGGCAAAATGAACAGTAATCCTAGCACTCTGGGTGGCTGAGGTGGGAGGATTGCTTGAGCCCAGGAGTTTAAGACCAGCCTGGGCAACATAGTGTAAACCCCATCTCTATGACAACAACAAAAAAGGCAAAATGTCAACATCTCATTTATAATTAATAAAAGTTTGATGAAGGAAGAAAAAACACATGGCAAAAAATAGAGACCTGAGATCAAATCAGTGGTGATTAAATCAGAAAATGTATGGGAAATCCTTTAGCAAAAGGCCTGGCCCAGAACATCCTTGACTAAGTATTAGTTGATTATGAATCTGAAGTTGATACCCCCGTTCTTTTTATAGCATGCCTACTAGAGTGTGGTCTTTCATCCATTTTTGCTCAAATGTCACTGTTTCACAAAATTCCCATCATCTTTCTCTTTTCCTCCCCACCATCCTTAAAATGTTGTTTATATCTTTCAATATGGAAAGGCTGCCATGGAAAACTGTACTTAATTCTTGTGAACCAGGAATCTGCTTTCTGAGCTGAAATTATGTGCCCCTGATTTATAATTATTATTTCAATAAGGGGGATTGACAGAAGGCAAGAAACTATACAGTGAGCAAAAGTTGAAGAGATTCTAGCTGTTTGGGATAATAAGTAGGATTTGGCAGGCTGCCAAATTACCTAGGGAAGGTCTTATGACTCATGGCTACATTCTATCCTTCACTAAAGAATCTTATTGTAGGTTACTCAAGTCTTATCATGAGTTTCCTCAAAGTGTTGACATACTGATTAATACATAACCTACTGACATTGAAAAGGACATTAATTTGTTTCTGAATCGTTCCGTTTTACTGGTAACCTTGTGCATAAAACATTCTAGGCTATATGTTGTCATCTGTAGCCAACGGTTGTAATCTCTGCATTGTACCCTGCAATGAAAAGGACAACTCCAAAATGAGGAGTCTTCCTCCCTTCTACACTTTCTGATAAAAACATTCTAACTTGTAATGGACTTTGGAATACACCCAACTTTGTTGGTGTGTCTTCCCAGGTCAATCATCAAATCTGGCTTCCAATAAATCTTTGTCAAGTTATTTCTGTCTCAACAGCCTTCATTTCAGTTGGTAGTGAAGAAATCAACCTCATTTCTTAAGAAAATAGAGTTCCATTTCTACATGTTGTATCAGTTACAATTAGGTTCCACTGTGTAAAACAGAAACCCCAATAAAGAGACTCGAACACCTAGGGTTTCTCTTGCATGTAAAATATTTTAAAAGTTGGGCAGTTCCAGATTTGTGTGGCAGCTCCACAAATAAAACTACAATGGTGCCAAGCAAGGTAAATGTTTAATTCTTTCCTTTTAGTGGCCAATTTTCAAAATATGCTGTTAGAGCACTAGCTACCTCTGATGGTGAACAGTTTTTTTAATTTGTTTTGGATATGTATATTTTTCAGTATTATTTTGAACTCACAAATAGTATTATTCGGTACTCAGCATTATTTTGAACTCATAGATTTTTCTATGTTCAATGAGTTTCCATCAAATTTGGTGCTTAATTTGTCTCATCTATGGCCAGTTAGAAGTCCCTGCAGATTGGCTCCAGTCCTTTTGACATGACCCCATCAGACTGTGAGCATTTTCTTGCTTTCAGCACAAAAATGTGCCAGGGTCATTTTGTACACTCCTGCCCCATACCAGGAGTCAGCCATTTCTTCAAGGTGTCCTGGTTCCTTCTAGTGCGAATGGTATTTAGAGAACATCATCTGGAAATTGCTACTGGGTTATCATGGTTCTTAAAACTTTTCAGTGGGCAGAGCTATGAAATACGTATTTTTTAGAGAGGAAAAAAATCACAAGCTTATACTGGTATTTCCAATTTAAGTTAAGATTATAAAGGTTTTACTTAATATCTTTGATTTCAGGTTTGCAGCTAAAAAAATAGGTTACTAACAACATATTTTATGTAAATAGTACCAAAATATAAAACAGTATAACCATCAATAATAAGACTACTGATTTTGCTATGTTTGGAGGTTGAGAAAAAATAAGACTATCGAATATGTTTCACTTCTTTTTGCTTAGTATATACCCTAATATCCAGTGTTTTAATGTGAAATAATTCTTTTCAGTGTAGTTATGTCATCAACCTGATATACTGGTTATTTTGTTTGTGTTTTTTTTTCATCTTGGTGGTTACTTCTTTTTTTTTTACTTAGTTTTGTTTTTTAATTATATAAAACATTTACCTAGTCACCAAATGAAAATTAAAAATGAGGTATATTTAGGGAAGATGGCCAGGTGTGGTGGCTCATGCTAATAATCCTAGCACTCTGGGAGGCCGAGGTGAGTGGATCACTTCAGCCCAGGAGTTCAAGACCAGCCTGTGCAACATAGTGAGACCCTGTCTCTACAAAAATTAGAAAAAAATACCGGGCCTTGGCAGTGTGACTTGTAGTCCCAGCTACCAGGGTAGGCTGGGGTGGGAGGATCACCTGAGCCAGGGAAGTTGAGGCTGCAGGGAGCTATGATGGCACCACTGTACCCAAGCCTGGGCGACAGAGTGAGACTTTGTTTCAAAAAATAAATAAATTACTGAGTATATACCCAAACGAATATAAGTCATTCTATTAGAAAGATACATGCATGCATATGTTCATTGCAGCACTATTCACAATAGTAAAGACAATGGAATCAACACAAATGCCCATCAATGCTAGACTGGATAAATGAAATGTGTTACATATACACCATTGAATACTATGCAGCCATAAAAAGGAACGAGATCATGTCTTTTGTAGGAACATGGATGGAGCTGGAAGCCATTATCCTCAGCAAACTAATGCAGTAACAGAAAACCAAACACCACATGTCCGCACTTATAAGTGGGAGCTGAATGATAAGAACACATGGACACATGGAGGGGAGCAACACACACTGGGGCCTGCTGGGGGTGATGGGGGGAGGGAGAGCCTCAGAAAGAATAGCTGATGGATGCTAGGATTAATACCTGGGTGCTGGGTTAATCTGTGCAGCAAACCACCATGACATGCACGTGTTCACCCATGTAATAAACCTGCACATTCTGCACATGAACCCTGGAACTTAAAAGTTGAAGAAAAATAATTAATTAAATAAAAAATAATTTTTAAAAAGTCTAATTTTTTTTCCTTTTGCTCCCTTATATATTTTATTTTTGACTTATCCTTTTATTATTTTTGAAAATATAGACAAATGCTTATATATATATATATATATATTCAGATTTCCCTCCATTTTCGACACAAAGAATAGCATATTCTAAATACTGTTGTGCGCCTTGCTTTCTTCACTTAAAAATATATTCTAGAGATTACTCCATACCAGTAGATAGAAGGCTTCCTCATTTTTGTGTAAGGGGGCGGGGGGTGCTGCCTAGACCATCATATGTTTGTACCATAGTTTATTCAACCAATTCTCTACTTATAGACATTTGTGTTTTTCTTTTGTTATTATAAATAATACTACAGTGAAAATCTTGAGTGTATGCCATTATGTCAGTGCACCTTTGGGATAGATTTCTAGAAGTAGCATTGCCACGACAAAAGGTATATACATATATAATATTGCCAGAAATGAACAAATTTCCCTTCATTTGGTTTATTTTTGCATTCCCATCAGCAATGTATTAGAGAAGCTGTTTCCCTGTAGTCCTGCAAATAAAATATGTTGTCATCCTTTTGAATTTTTGCCATCTGACGGATAAGAAGTGATATCTCAGTATAGTTGTAGTTTCACGTCTCTTATTTTGAATGAGGTTGAGCATCTCTTCATATGTTTAAGGGTCACAGACAACAAATTTTAATTCAAGTGTTTGCTGCTGATGCTGGTATTTTCTTACTTTTAAAGTTAGAGAGAACAGGATGAGTACGATTAGGTATGAAACAAGTTTACATTGAGGCAAAGGTCATGGCCAATGTGCTTCTTAGAGAAAGTTCTATGAAGCTTTCTTTGAAAGATTGCATAGACAAAAAATGTATCCATCAGATTTTAATGTGGATCCATATGGTTTCCTTACAGTGGCATCCACTCATTGAAATTCTTGTGTTTGGCTATGTATTAGATTCACTTAAAGAATTTTAAAAGAGAAAAAAACATGCGTGGGCTTCAAATATCTACCTTTGAATATCTCTGGGATAAGAGCTTGATGGTTATATTTTTTGGTTTTCTGTTTTTTTGTTTAAGCTGAGATGATTCTGTGCAGACAGGCCTAAAAACCAAATGCATTTGTTCAGTAAATATTTATAGGATGCCTACTAAGTGTCAGGGAATGAGCTGGCAGATGGGTGCTGAAGACACAGCAGTAATAAGACAGACATACCCCTTGCCCTCATGGACTATAGAGACAGCCAAAAATCATTTAATAAACTCACACTAAGTTGTCATAAATACTATTAAAGCACAGTGGGCTGAGATAGAGAATAGCAAGAAGAAATGCTTTTTGATAGGATGGTCAGAGAATGTCTCCCTGAGATGATGTTAAAGCTGATTTGCAGAAGCAAAATGGGCTTTTGGGCCAGATATACCTAAATGTTTAAGGGCTATTAGAACATGTGTATAATTATTATCAAGTACTGTGCTCAGAACCTGTTTCACAGTAAATAGCAGCTGCAATGATGATGATGATGATGACACTTTCTGTTCAGCCAGATCTTTAAGTCCCATTTCAGTCTAAACTGCTTTATTAAGCCTGCCTTGGTGAATGCAGCCGACACTGATTTATTCATTCATCAAATGTTACGGGGCAACCACTGTTTGCAAGGTACTCTTCTATGTACTGGGGATACAGTGGTGAAACCAACTGAGCCTTCATAGAACATGTGTTCCATGAAGTGACTCAATTTGACAATTATCTATCATCTTTTCTCTAGACTTTTCCAATAGGATTACAAACTCTTGAAGGTCAGACATGTTTTCTTTTGAACACTTCCCCGTAGTTTCAAGCATAGACTGTGTTCTGTAGAGTAGTAGACTCAGCGACTTTTCAGCTGGTCCAGCATGCACCATCCACCCACCAGTGAAAGAATCTTAGACCTGGCAGTGCTATTAGGAGAGAAGAGAATAGATGCAGAGTCTGACATATTAAGAGCCTGAAAGGAAGATTTACACTTTGAAAAGAAGCCAAGAACCATACCATTTCAGTCTGCTGAAAAGTTGTAACGTGCCTGCTATGGTTTGAATGTCCCTCCAAAACTCACGTTGAAATTTAATTCCCAATGTGGCAGTATTGAGAGGTGAAGCCTTTAAGAGGTGATTGGGGCTAGGCGAGGTGGCTCATGCCTATAATCCCAGCAGTCTGGGAGGCTGAGGCGGGCAGATCGCTTGAGCCCAGGAGTTTGAGACCAGCATGGGCAACATGGTGAAATCCCATCTCTACAAAAAATACAAAAATTAGCTGGGCATGGTGGTGCACACGTGTGGTCTCAGCTATTTGGGAGGCTGAGGTGGGAGGATCACCTGAGCTCAAGGAGGTCAGAGCTTCAGTGAACTGTGATCTTGCCACTGCACTCTAGCCGACAGAATGAGACACTGCCTCAAAAAAAAAAAAAAAAAGAGGTAATTGGGTCATGAGGCTCTGCCCTCATGAATGGATTAATCCGTAATAACCCATTAATTCACAAATCCATTAATCTATTCATGCTTAATGAATTAGTGGGTTAATGGTAATTATCATGAGCATGAGACTAGTGGCCTTATAAGCAGAGGAAGAGAAACCTAAGCTAGCAAGCTCAGCTCCTAGCCATGCGATGTCCTGTGCCTCCTCTGGATTCTGCAGAAGATCCCTACCCGCAAGAAGAGAAGGCTCTCATTGGCTGCACCCCCTTGACCTTGGACTTCCCAGCCTCCAGAACTGTAAGAAATAAATTTCATTTCTTATGAATTGCTCCATTTCAGGTATTCTGATATAAACAGAAAATGGAGTAAGACAGTACCAAACTCAGATCCTGTTGGTACAGGCTTTAAGCAATTGGTTCTTACAAACTTGTTGATTTTGTTGTTGTTAACCAACCTCATGAAAATTCTTTTTAAGAGAATATGTTAATCAATCCTGGATAAATTTCTGGATTTCTAACATTAACTAATTTTCTTTGCCTTTCCCACCATTCCCCCCTGCCCCCACGTATGTACATCCATATCCACATACTTTGTGGAGTTTATTCTTTTGTTTCAAAACTCCAATTTCTTCCAAGCCAGTGCTTCTCCAGCATAAAAATCACTGATCTTACCAATAATTTATCGAGTTACAGTTCACTTAACTTATTAAGTATGTCCTATGCAATATTTAGGGCATACTTAAACTTAAAAAGTAAAAAGTTATTTGTTATGCAAATCAAAACCACAATGAGATACCATCTCACACCAATCAGAATGGTTATTATGAAAAAGTCAAAAACAACAGATGCTGAAAAGGCTGCAGTGAAAAGGGAAAGCTTTATACACTGTTGGTGAGAGTGTAAATTACTTCAGCCACTGTGGAAAACGGTTTGGACATTTCTCAAAGAACTTAAAACAGAACTACCATTTGACTCAGAAATCCCATTACTGGGTATGTATTCCAAGGAAAATAAATCATTCTACCAAAAAGACATGTGTACTCATATGTTTGTTGCAGTACTGTTCACAATTGCAAAGACACGGAACCAACCTAGGTGCCCATCAGTGGTGGAGTATATAAAGAAACTATTGTATGTGTATACCATAGAATACTACACAGCCATAAAAAAGGAAAAAAATTATGTCTTTTGCAGCAGCATGGATACAGCCAGAAGTCATTATTTAACTTGTAAACACCCTACCAATTATTTTCTTTATGATCCCAGTTTGCTGTGACCTTTGACATAGTTGTAACTTGTATTATTGCCCAATTATCTTGAATGGAGCACCTGAGAACGAATTAGTTTCAGAAAACATTCATAAATGTCTGGAAGGCAAGGAGGGAGATGTGAAGAAAATTTGAGCCTCCCTTTTCTAGTTCAACAAAGTTAAAACCAGTTATTTTGAGAAGCCAAATTTGTGTGAAAAATAAAGTCATTTTATATGCTAAAGATGTGTTTGGCATATAAGGATGTTATTCCTTAAATGTTTCCTTGAATATACTCTAGAGACTTAAAAAAAAAATAATCTAAAAGTTCATTACAATTCTGACAAATACAGAGCTTCTCTATGTATTTTCTCCTTCACAGACAGACACTAGTGATTTCCAAGGGCACCCAATTAAATTACTGAAAAGAAATATAGTATTCTTGTCCCTTGGCTGACCCACTCATCATTCTGGCTGGAAACTCATTTTTAGTGCCAGCAAACCATGATTTCACTGAGAACAAATATACTATTCCCTCTGGCTATGAGTTGTCCTACCACGTTCACTTTCTTCAGCTCTCTTGCTAAAACTTTCTAGATTAAAATAAATATTGGGTAAATAGATTGTTTCCAAAATGATATATAAATGCTACAAAAGGTTGCTATTTACACTGGTCAGTAAATGTTTTAGAAACAACTGGCAAACTGGGAAACGTAGATATGGATAAATCTATGAAGACAAATAACGATTAAGCCTAAATGGGAACTCTCTAGGCAGAAGTACAAAAATATAAACAATCCACCCAGGAAAATATCGAATTTATTCTTTCATGCTGAAGAAATGACTGATGTGGTTTGGTGTGTCACTTGATGACAACGTGGACAAGCTTTAAGTCAAAAGGAAGGCTGATGGTGGCATCCCAGCCCTGCCGTGTGGGTGTGTTCTTCGAGGCAGATGAACTTCCTTCCACCCTCAGGAGCAAATTCCTTGTGTGTAGCAGTCGGGTTGAGCCACAGTAAGCAGCTGTTGGCTTTTCCTCAGTATGCTCGTGAGGAGGAGAGAGACAAGCATAATGGGTAGGAACACTGGCTCCAGAGTCAGATTGCTGGACTTTGTCTCCTAGAACTTGGGCAGATTCTGACTTTGGACAAGGTACTTCTTGCTGAGCCTCATTTCCTCATCTGTAAATAGAAATCATAACAGTATCGACCTCGGGGGTTACTGCGAGGATCTGAGACTGTAAGTGAAAGACGTAGACCAGGTCAAGCACAGAGTAAGCACATGATCTGTTAGCTTCTCCTGCTATTCTTTATTGCCTGTCAGCGCAACTGAAATGAATGGGACAGTAAGCTGGCATGCGGATGGACTATCTTCCATCTTCTGACCACAGCCTTCCCTCAGACAGATTTCCATGAATAAGCAAGTCATAGTATAAAGGAGCAGAGATTTACATAGAGAGGGAGGGATGGCAGGGACTCAGGATTTCAAACACTTCTCTCCTTTTCCTTCCCTTCCCTGGGACCCCTTCCCTCCTTAGGTTCTTGAGAGAAACAAAAATAACAGCACAAAGGTCAAAGCCAAGAAAATACATGTGATAAGACTTTGACCTGAACTCCCGTGCAGACCATGGCGAGCTGAACAGGACCAAGTGGAAGATCCCTTTCACATGGCTGAAGGCAGGCCTAGGACCTAGGAGCAAAGCAGTTCTTCCAGCCCCTTCCTCCCAAAGCCCAAATCCTGGTTCCCTGGATCTGACTACTCTCACAGTAAGAAAAAAGGGACTCCAGAAATAACTGGCAAGTTAGCAAAGGGGTGACATGTTCTAGACAGCTGGCGTGCCTCACCTATAGCCCCACTGCTCTAGGCATTTTCAGGAGATGAGTGAGAGCTTTGGGACTCCTGGCCTGGATACGCCCACCAGAGGGAGAGGAAAAGCCAGAAGACAGAGCTGGGAGCAACCATCTTACCAGGCTCAGAACTTTAGCTCCTTCAATTCATTCAACACATATGTTGTCCCTTCATATCCATGGGGGATTGCTTCCAGGACCTCCCGTGGCTAACAAAATCCAGATGCTCAAGTCTCTGATATAAGATGCTGCCATATTTGCATATAACCTATGTACATCCTCCCATATCCTCTAAATCATCACTAGATTACTTATAATACCTAATACAAAGTAAATGCTATGTAAATATTGTTATGCTGTATTGTTTAGGGAATAATGACAAGAAAACAAAGTCTGTACATATTCAGTATAAATGCACTTTTTTTTTTTGAGACGGGGTCTCACCCCATCACCCAGGATGGAGTGCAGCGACATGATTGCAGCTCACTGCAGCCTCATTCTCCCCAGCTCAAGCAATTCTCCTGCCTCTGCCTTCTGAGTAGCTGGGCTATAGGCATGCACCGCCATGTCTTGCTGATTTTTTTAATTTAATTTTTAGTAGAGACAGGGTCTTGCTATGTTGCCCAGGCTGGTCTGAAACTCATAAGCTCAAGCGATCCTCCTGCCTCAGCATCTCGAAGTGTTGAGATTACAGGCGTGAGCTACTGTGCTTGTCCTAAATGCATATATAAAAAATATTTTCAATTTTCATTGGTTGAATGCACAGATGCAGAACTTAGAGATACAGAGGACCGACTATATATATATACATATATTTTTTTTTTGAGACAGTCTCTCTCTGTCACCCAGGCTAGAGTGCAGTGGCACAATCTCAGTTCACTGCAACCTCTGCCTCTTGGGTTCAAGCGATTCTTCTGCCTCAGCCTCCCACGTAGCTGGGACTACAGGTGTGCACCACCATACCTGGCTAATTTTTGTATTTTGAGTAGAGAGGGGGTTTCACCATATTGGCCAGGCTGGTCTTGAACTCCTGACCTTGTGATCCACCCACCTTGGCCTCCCAAACTGTTGGGATTACAGGTGTGAGCCACCATGCCCAGCCCCCTACCCAACCACCCCCCACCCCCCACCCCCCACCCCCGACTATATTTTATTGAGCCCCTATTATGTGCTAGGCACTGGTTGTAAATGCTGAAACCTCAAGGTGACCCCAACTGAAGTAAATTCATTACAACCACAAAGAGGAATCAAGTCCTTGACCCCTTGCACCTCAAACCTGCCCCCTACTCAGTCAGAGCTTTACTCCATCTGTCTTCATGTTAATGCCTTTGTCTTTGACCCTGACCCACCCTCAGGCAGGGTGTCAAAGAGAGGAGAAGAGGGAGCAAAGGGAAGTTTAAGCATCCACAGCCAGCAAATAAAAGAGGGCACCAAGAGAGGATGTGTTCTCCCTGGTTTCAGTTTTGTCACAGCTAGGGTCGGGAGGCTCTGACCCAAGTGAGTATTGCTCTCACAAGGCCATTCTAGATTTTGACTCATGGGATAAAATCCTCAGCCCCTGCCCCTCAGTTCCAAGTCATTATAAAGCGGGAAATTTCCCCTGACCCCTTCGCAGGTGGGAACTGGAGTGAGGGTGCTGGGGATAGCTGGCTATTTAGGTGCCAGTTGGGGCAAACTCCACTCACTGGAATCCATTGCACTGAACCCCTCACAGGAGGGAGCATGCAGGTGAGTGGGTACGGGAGCTGGGCAAGTGTTTTTGGGGAACAGCAGGAGCAAAACTCCATGCAGGCCCTGCAGCAGCATCTAGAGGCGGGTACCCATGACCCCTGAAGTCCCAGAGGGCATCTGTTACAGTGCTCTTTTAGCTTTGCTGTTTTTGGACAGCTTAAGTGTTAAACAGTTCAGTGGACCCTCTGTCTTTTTGCATGAGGTGGTTGCTCTCCACCATTGAGGGCAGAGGGTCAGTGTGACAGCCTTTAGCGTCCACACCCGTGGCACCCAAGCTCTTGTTTGGCATCCAGGAAAAATTAGGTCACATGAATGAATTCAAGGGTGGTAAATGTAGAGGATTTTATTGCTGATGAAAGTGGCTCTCAGTGGAAAGGTAATGGAGCAGGAAGGTGATCTTCCCACAGAGTTTGGCCATCCCTGGCCAGACTCCTGTCCGAAGCAATGCGGTCAAACCATCCCTCTGAAGTCAAGCTGCCCCTCTCCAACATCAAACTGTAGTCTCTTATGTCCAGCTGCTTCTCCTCTTCTCTGCTCTGTCAGTGGAGCCTGGGGTTTTTATGGGCATAAGATTGGGGGTGGGGCGGGACATGAGTGGTTTTGGAAAAGGCAACATCACATGGGAAAACAGGAATGCATGTTCTCACTTGGGGCCATGGTTCCAGGCTTGGACTTGATGCCTTCACAGCTGGATTCTATCAAATATTTAAAGAAGAACTAATACCAATCCTACTCAAACTATTCCAAAAAATAGAGGAGGAGGGGATACTTAGAAACTCATCCTACAAGGCCAGTATTACCCTGATACCAAAACCAGACAAAGACACATCAAAAAAAAGAAAACTAAAGGCCAATACTTCTGATGAATATTGATGCAAAAATCCTCAACAAAATATTAGCAAACTAAATTCAACAATACCTTAGAGAGATCATTCTTCATGACCAAGTGGAATTTTTCCCTGGGATGTAAGGATAGTTCAACATGCACAAATTAATCAATGTGATATATAAAAATAATGAAGGACAAAAACCATATAATCATTTCAACTGACTCAGAAAAAGCATTTGATAATATTCAACATCCCTTCATGATAAAACCCCTCAAAAAAATAAAATGGCATAGAAGGAACATACCTCAACATAATAAAAGTCATATACAATAGACACACAGTATCAGGCTGAATGGGAAAAAACTGAAAGGCATTTTTCTAAGATCTGGAATGCAACAAGGATGCCCATTTTCACCACTGTTAGCTGTTATTCCACATAGTACTAAAATTCCTAGGTAGAACAATCAGACGAGGAAAATATAAGGCCATCCAAATTGGAAAGGAAGAAGTTGAATTATCCTTGTATGCAGATGATATAATCTTATATTTGGAAAAAATCTGAAGAATCCACCAAAAACTATTAGAACTGATAAACAAATTCAGTGAAGTTTCAGGATACAAAATCAATATACAAAAATCAGTAGCATTTCTATATGCTGACAGTGAACAATCTGAAAATGAAATAAAAAAGTAATTCCATTTACAATAGCCACAAATAAAATTAAATACCTAGTAATTAACCAAAGAAGTGTAAGTTCTCTATAATGAAAACTCTGAAACACTGATGAAAGAAATTGAAGAGGACACCAAAAATGAAAAGATGTTTCATGTTCATGGATTGGAAGATTCAATATTATTAAAATATCAATACTACCCAAAGCAATCCACAGATTCAACGCAATCCCTGTCAAAATACCAATGACATTCTTCACAGAAATAGAAAAAAAAATCCTAAAATTTATATGAAACCACAAAAGATCCAGAATAGCCAAAGCTTTCCTAAGCGAAAAGAAGAAAACTGGAGGAATCACATTACCTGATTTCAAATTACACCACAGAGCTGTAGTAACCCAAATGGCATGGTCCTGGCATAAAAACAGACATAGAGCAATGGAACAGAATAGAGAGCCCAGAAACAAATCCACACACTTACAGTGAACTCATTTTTGACAAAGGGGCCTACTATTTGATAGCAAAACAGGGTGACTATAGTCAATAATAACTTAATTGTACATTAAAAAAATAACTAAAAGAGTATAATTGGATTGTTTGTAATACAAAGGATAAATGCTTGAGGGAATGAATATCCCATTCTACATGATGTGATTATTACACATTGCATGCCTGTATTAAAACATCTCATGTACATCATAAATGTATACACCTACTATGTACTCACAAAAATTAAACATTAAAATAAAAAATTAATTTCTGAAACAGGCTGACAAAGACTTCAAATGTTTGAATGGTCAAAGAGATATATTGAAGATCAACTTGAACTTTAAAAGAAAAACAAAAGCTAAAGTAAAAACAGGCAGAAATAAAATAGGTGAATATGGAAAAGGTCCAATTAGAAGTATTGGAAATTATTTTTAAGTGGTCAGTAAAATCTTTAAAGATTAGTAAAGAAATTTGTTAAAGAAACATCAAAAGATTGAATTAATTCTAGACTGGACAACAGTAGTAAGGAAATTGCTAAAAGTAGCACAGAGAGATAAAAGTTTAAAAATATAGGAAAGCAGCAAAAAGTCTTGGAGAATTGACTAAAAGGTGGACAGATGGAAAAAAATCCATCATATTAATATATCCAATAGGAGTTCTAGGAAAGGAGAATGGAGAAAATGCCTGAGAAATAATATTTAAAGAAAGAAATATTGAGAAGTTTCCAGAATTTGGAAAAGATATGACTTTTAGGTCTATCCCCTCATACTAAATAAGGGCAATTCTGTAATTACATTTCAGAATATTAAGGATAAAGTATAAAACCTAAAAGCTACCACAGCCTACAAATCAATATAAGAAATGGCAGACAATCCAGTAGAAAAATGGGCAAAATATATAAATAATCACTTCACAAAAGAAGTTACATAATGGCAATTTTAAAAGGGGACTAATTTCATTAGTCATCAAAGAAATTCAAATTATAACTACTATGAGATACCTCAACACACCACAATAATGGATGAAATGAAAATGACAGATAGTACCAAGTGGTGGTAGAATATCAGCCAATGGCACTTTCACATACCATTGGCGGGAGTGTAAACTGGTACAACTTTTTTGGAAAACCTTTTAGCAGTATACACCAAAGCTGAGCATACACATACCTTATGACCTGGCAATTCCATTCTAAATAAAATTGCATACATAAGTTCAGAAATGCATATATATGTTCACCAAAAGACACAGAATGTTAATAGCAACACTATTCTGATAGCCAAAAGTTTTAAATTACACTAATGTTCATCAAGAAAAGAATAGAGAAATTGTGGTGTATTCATACAATGAAATATAATACAACCCTGAGAATGAATGAATGATGTCTCATGAAACAACATGAATAAATTTTATAAACCATGTTGATCAAAAGAAACCAAAGGTTGGGAGATACTATTTGAAAAACATATCTGATAAAGGATTTATATCAGAATATATAAAAAACACTAACATCTCATTAAGAAGAAAACCCATTTTTTGTTTTTGTTTCAATTGATACATAATATTTACATATTTGTAGGGTACATGTATTTGCTACATGAATACAATATGTAGTGATCAAGTCAGGGTATTTGGCGTATCCATCACCTTACTTATCATTTCTATGTGTTGGGACCATTTCAAGTCCTCTCTTCTAGCTAACTTGAAATATACAACACATTATTGCCAGCTATAGTCATTCTACTCTGCTTTTGAACATTAGAACTTATATCTTCTATCTAATTGTATGTTTATACCCATTAGCCAACATCTCTTTAAGCTCCCTTACTCTCACACACTGTTCCCAGCCTCTGGTATCTATCATTTGTATTCTCTACCTCCATAAGATTAACTTTTTCAGCTCCCACATATGAGTGAGAACATGTAGTATTTGTCTTTCTGTGCTTCATTTATTTCACTTGCATAATGAGCTGCAGCTCCATCCATATTGCTGCAAATGACATGATTTCATTCTTTTTAATGGCCAAATAGTATTCCTTTGTGTATATATACATTTTCTTTATCCATTCATTGATGAACACTTCAGTTGATTCTGTATCTTTGCTATTATGAATAAGGCTGCAATAAACACGCAAGTGTAGGTATCCCTGTGATATACCAATTTCCTTTTCTTCGATAAATACTCAGTAGTGGCCTTGCTGAATCATATGGTAGTTCTATCTTTAGTTTTTTGATAAATCACCAAACTGTTTTCTGTAGTGGTTGTACTAATCCATATTCCCATCAATGGTGTATAAAGAGTGTTGTTTTCTCCACATTTGCCAGTGTCTTTTTTTTTTTGAGATGGAGTCTTGCTCTGTCACCCCAGCTGGAGTGCAGTGGCATGACCTTGGCTCACTGCAACTTCTGCCTCCTGAGTTCAAGTGATTCTCCTGCCTCAGTCTCCCGAGTAGCTGGGATTACAGGTGCGTGCCACCATGCCTGGCTAATTTTTGTATTTTTAATAGTGATGGGGTTTCACCATGTTGGTCAGGCTGGTCTCGAACTCCTGACATCGTGATCTGCCCACTTTGGCCTCCTAAAGTGCTGGGATTACAGGCATGAGCCACTGTGCCCAGCCGCCAGTATCTTTTTGTTGTTGTTTTAAAAATTACCATTCTAACTGGGCTAAGATGATATCTCATTGTGCTTTTGGTTTGCATTTCCCTGATGATTGGAAGTGTGGAGTATTTTTTCATATACCTGTTGGCCATTTGTACATCTTCTTTTGAGAAATGTTTATTCATGCCCTTTGCCCACTTTTTACTGGGATTATTTGTTTTCTACTTTTGAGTTGTTTGAGTTCTTTATATATTCTGGATACCAGTCTTTTGTCAGATGAATTGTTTGCAAATATTTTTTCCCATCCAACAGGTTGTCTCTTTGTCATTTGTTTCCTCTGCTGTCCTGAAGTATTTTAGGGTAATATAGTCCCTTTTGTTTATTTTTATTTTAGTTGCCTGAGCTTTTGAGTTCTAGCCATAAAATCTTTGCCTAGACCAATGTCCTGAAATGTTTCTCCTATGTTTTCTTCTAGTCATTTTATAGTTT
Organism: Homo sapiens; assembly: GCF_000001405.40. Taxonomy (NCBI): domain Eukaryota; kingdom Metazoa; phylum Chordata; class Mammalia; order Primates; family Hominidae; genus Homo; species Homo sapiens. Next base: position 87,571,596 of record NC_000010.11, on the reverse strand, counting down.
CAGTCTTTAATCCATTGTGAGTTGATTTTTGTATATGGTGAGAGACAAGGGTCTAATTTCATCTTTCTGCATATGGATATTGAATTTTCCCAGCACTATTTATTGAAGTGGGTGTCCTCTCCCCAGTGTATGTTCTTGACAGCTTTGTTAAGCTCATTTGGATGTCAAAATGTGGATTTTATTTGCGTTTTCTATTCTGTCCCATTGCTATATGTGTCTATTTTATACCAATACCATGCTGTTTTGATTACTATAGCCTTGTAATATATTTTGAACTCATGTAGTCTGAAGCATCCAACTTTGTTCTTTTTGCTGAAGATTGATTTGGCTAATCTCACTCTGTTTTAATTCTGTATAAATTTTAGGATTTTTTTTCTAATTCCGTGACAAATATCATTGGTATTTTGATAAGGATTGCATTGAATCTGTAGATTGCCGTGGGTAGTACTGTCATTTTAATTATATTAATTCTTCCAATCCATGAGCATGTGCTGTCTTGCCACGTTTGTGTCCTCTTCAATTTTTTCATCAGTGCTTTGTAGTTTTCCCTGTAGACATCTTTCATTACTTTGGTTAGATTTATTTCTAAGTATTTATTTTATTGTAGCTATTGTAAATGGGATTGTTCTCTTGATTTCTTTCTCAGCTAGCTCATTATTGGTGTATAGAAATGTTATACACTGATTTTTGTATGTTGATTTGTACCCTGCAACTTTACTGAATTTATTCATCAGATCTAAGAATTTTTTGGTGGAGCCTTTAGGTTTTTCTAGATGTAAGATTATATTATCTGCAGAGAGGGACAATTTGATTTCCTCTTTTCTAACTAAGATGCCTTTTATTTATTTCTCTTGCCTGATTGCTCTGGCTAGAACTTCTGGTACTATGTTGAATAGAAGTGGTGAAAGTGAGTATCCTTCTCTTGTTCCAGTTCTTAGAGGAAAGCCTTTCAAAATTTCCCCATTCAGTATGATGTTAGCTGTAGGTTTGTCATATACAAAATGTATTATGTGGTGGTATGTTTCCTCTATGCCTAGTTTTGTGAGAGTTTTTATTGTGAAGGGATGTTGAATTTTATCAAATCCTTTTCTGCAACAGTTGAGAGGATCATATCATCTTTGTCCTTTATTTTGTTGATGTGATGTATCATGTTTATTAATATGCATATGTTGAACCATCCTGGCATCCCTGGGAAAAAATCTCAATCATGGTGTATTATTTTTCGGATGTGCTGCTGGATTCAGTTTTGTTGCATTTTTTGGAGAATATTTGCATCTATATTCATCAGGAATATTATTCTATAGTTTTCTTTTTTGTTGTTGCATCCTTTTCTGGTTTGAGTGTCAGGATAATGCTGGCGTCATGGAATGAGTTAGGGAGAATTCCCTCCTCTTCAAGCCTTTGCAATAGTTTGAAGAGAATTGATATTAGTTCTTCTTTGAAAGTTTGGTAGAATTCAGCAGTGAACCCAGCTGGTCTTGGAGTTTTCTTTGTTGGGGAACTTCTTGTTACTGCTTTAATTTCATTATTTGTTATTGATCTGTTCAGGTTTTTTATTTCTTCCTAATTCAGTCTTGGTAGGTTGTATAAATACAGGAATACATCCACTTCAGTTTGTTGGTGTATAGTTGTTCATAACAGTCTCTAATGATCATTTGTATTTGTATGGTATCAGTTGTAATGTTTCCTTTTTTGTTTTATTTATCTGGGTCTTTTTTTTCTTGGTTAGTCTACTAAGTGGTTTTTCAATGTTTATCTTTTCAAAAACCGAACTTTTTGTTTAGTTGTTCCTTTGGGGTTTTTTGTTTGGTTCGTTGGTTTTTTGTTTGTTTGTTTTGTTTTTGTTTTTTTGGGGGGGTCTCCATTGTTTTAGTTCTGCTCTGGTCTTTATTATTTCTCTTCTACTAATTTTGGGTTTGGTTTGTTCTTGCTTTTCTAGTTTCTTGAGGTGCACTGTTAGATTGTTTATTTGAAATCTTTCAACTTTTCTGATGTAGAGACTGATGGCTATAAACTTTTCTCTTAGCACTGTTTTGCTATATCCCATAGGTGTTGGTGTGTTGTGTCTTGATTTTTATTTGTTTCAAGAAAAGTTTTTATTTCCTTCATCCATTTTTTCCATGACCAAATGGTCATTCAGGAGTATGTTGTTAAATTGCCATGTATTTGTGTGGTTTCCAAAGTTCCTCTTGTTATTGATTTCTAGTTTTATTCTATGGTGGTCTGAGAAGATACTGGGTATAATTTTGATTTTGATTTAAAAAAAATTTTTTTTTGCCAGAACATGTTCTTATCTGAAATTTTAATTTTTAAGAATTAAAATTGTTTTTTTTTCTAACTTATGGTGTATCTTGGAGGATGTTTCATGCGCTGATGAGACGAATGTGTATTCTGTAGCTGATGGATGAAGTGTTCTGTAAATGTCTATTAGGTCTACTTGGTCTAATGTTCAGTTTAAATCCAATGTTTGTTTGTTAATTTTCTGTTCAGATGATCTGTCTAATGCTGAGATTGGGTTCTTGAAGTCCCAATTATTATTGTATTGGAGTCTATCTGTCTCCTTTTTTTTCTTTTTGAGACAGGGTCTCACTCTGTCACCCAATCTATTAGGCAGTTCTCACGTTGCCATGAAGAAATACCTGAGACTGGGTAATTTATTAAAAAAAAAAAAGACGTTTAATTAGCTCACAGTTCTGTAGGCTGTACAGGAGACAGTGCTGGCATCAGCTTCTGGGGAAGCCTCAGGGAGCTTTTACTTATGGCAGAAGGCAAAGCAGCAGCAGGCACAGCTCATGACAATAGCAGAAGCAAGAAAGACAGGGGGCGGGGGGAGGTGTCACACACTTTTAAATGACCAGATCTTGTGAGAACTCACTATCACAAAGACAGCACCAAGCCCTGAGGGATCTGCTGTCATGATCCAAACATCTCCCACCAGGCCTCATCTCCAGCACTGGTGACTACAATGCAAGATGAGATGTGGGTGGTGACAAATATCCAAACTACATAGTTCTAACCCTAGGCCCTCTCAAATCTCATGTCTTTCTCACATTGCAAAATATAATCATGCTTTCTCAACAGTACCCCAAAGTCTTAACTCATTCCAGCATTACCCCAAAAGTCCATAGTCTCATCAGAGACAAGGCAAATCCTTTCCACCTATGAGCCTGTAAAATAAAAACAATTTAGTTACTTTCAAGATACAATGGGGGTATAGGGTTTGGATAAACATTCCTGTTCCAAAAGGAGGAAATAGGCCAAAAGAAAGGGGCTACAGGCCCTATGCAAGTTTGAAACCCAGCAGGAGAGTTATTAAATATTAAAGCTACAAAATAATCTCCTTTGACTCCATTTCCCACATCCAGGGCACACTAGTGAAAGGAGTGGGCTCCCAAGGTCTTTGGCAGCTCTACCTCTGTGAATTTTCACGGTTCAACCCCCAGGGCTGCTCTCATTGGTTGGAGTTGAATGCATACAGGTTTTCCAGGTGCAGGGTGCAAGCTGCTGGTAGATTGCCCATTCTGGGGTCTGAAGGACAGTTGCCCCATCCCACAGCTCCACTAGTCAGTGCCCCATTGGGGACTCTGTGTGAGGACTCCAATCCCATATTTCTCCTCCACACTGTCCTAGTAGAGGTTCTCTGTGAGGGTTCTGCCCCTGCAACAGGCTTCTGTCTGGGCACTCAGGCTTTCCTATACACCTTCTGAAATCTAGGCAGAGGCTGCCAAGCCTCCTTAACTCTTAAATTGTTTGCACCTGCAGGCTTAACACCACATGGAAGCCACCAAGGCTTACAGCTTGCATTTTCTGAGGTGACAGCTTGAACTGTACATGGGCGCCTTTAAGCCAGGGTTGGAGCTGGAGCTGGAGCAGCTGGGATGTGGAGAGCAATGTCCCAAGGCTGCACAAGGCAATGGTGCCCCAGACCTGGCATAGGAAACCATTCTTCCCTCATAAGCCTCTAGGCCTGTGATGGGAGGGGCTGCCAGAAGGTCTTTGAAATGGCTTTGAGGCATTTTCGCCTTGTATATTAGCATTTGCCTCCCTTTTAGTTACGCAAACGTCTTTAGTAAGTGGTTCTCCTATAGTCTGCTTTAATTCCTTTCCCCAAAAAGTTTTATTTTTCTCTACCACATGATTAGGCTGCAAATTTTTCAAACTATTACACTCTGCTTCCTGTATAAATATAATTTCCAACTTTAAGTCATTTCTTTGTTCTGTATCCAAGTGTAGGCTGTTAGAAGCAGTCACACCACTTC